>NC_000006.12:158555638-158707153 GCF_000001405.40 Homo sapiens | reverse complement strand
TAAAATTATTTTCTCTAGTATCATTTCTTGTGATTAAAAAGTAAGAGATCATTTTGAGGTGATAGAAATGTTCCAAAATTAGAGTGTAGAGATGGTTGTACAACTTTGTAAATTTACTCAAAATCATTGCATTGTAGACTGAAAAGACACATTTTATGTTATGGAAATTGTACTCTCCTAAAGTCATTTAAACATACACACACATTATGAAACCATAATTGTTGGGAATGACTACTTTTATTAAAAGTTGATATTGGATTAGATTTTCTAAATCTTCCATTCGTCCTTTGGAAACATTTCATAATGGAATGAATCTATTCCTGTAAGCTTGCCTTGTGATGAAGATTAAATTAATCTTTTAAAAACTGTAATCTACTTATTTCTAGTTACAGAGGCTAATAATTTCCTAAATAAGACTGCATCTGATATAGTACTCTTTTTGTTTCAAGAAAAGAGGTTTTTATGATGTGTTAAGACGCCAGAAATAAAACTCAGCATGTTCCCAGTTCTGTGAACACAGTGTTCCCTGGCCAAATGCATAGGAAGAGACCAGTCCTCGTCCAGCAGGGGGCTGGGAAGGAAGCAGCATTCTCCTGCTAAGGGAGGTTCCCAGAGGGCTCCACTCTGCCCAATACACAGACCAGAACACCGGGCCTGCCACCCTGGGAGGCAGTCTAGCTCCTGTGCCGAAGCTTGGGGGATTTCAGCCATTCCAAAAAAACCATTTACATATGGAAACATCACTTCCATAAGACCCACTGAAGGACACGGACAGTAAGAAAATCAGATGGGCTGGCCTTTGGGAGGGCAAATAGCATGTGATGTTAAGCTCTCAACACCAAGCCCCAAGCCTCAAAGGAAGAAGGCAGCCCCTAGATCAGGGTCCTTAGCCAGGCTGGCCATAGCGAGTGCAGGAGTCTTTGAAATCATGGCTAAAGTTCCGAGTCCACCTGCCTGTGTGCATTTTCTGGGGTTCATCTGGGGGACATCTGGCTTTCACAGGATTCTATAAGGCACCTGTGACCCTTCCCCTCCCCATTAAGAAATACTTCCCTAAGACAGAATGAAAAGGTACAACACAGTCTTGCCTGAAGCCCGGGCACTCAACTAGTAGGACCAGCTGGTCAGGGACCAAAGCTAGCACCTGCAGGAGCCCCCTGAGAGAAAACATCCAGGTCCAAGCAAAAAACAGCCTGACTGCAGTGTGCTGGCCATGGAAGCAAGAGAAAAACAGCCACGCTGCTCATCCTGCCCATCCTGGGGCGAGCACAGACCTGGGAGACAGCTGGTGCACAGCAGTCTGCGGGCGGCAATATACCACAGGGTGCTCCTGTCTCTGGATCCCCCTGCCCTATGTGGCCTTACAGCCATCACTGTCACCCTGTTCCTGGGTCCCCCATGCCCTACGTGGCCTTACAGCCCTCACCTATCACCCTGTCCCCAGGTCTATGTGACCTTACAGCCCTCACTGTCACCCTGTCCCCAGGTCTATGTGACCTTACAGCCCTCACTGTCACCCTGCCCCGAGTCCCTCCTGCTCTATGTGACTTTCCAGATCTCACTGTTACCCTGCCCCCAGGTCCCCCCCCGCTGCTCTATGTGACCTTACAGCCCTCAGTGTTACCCTGCCCCGGGTTCTTCCTGTCCTACGTGGCCTTATAGCCCTGTCACCCTGTCCCCAGGTCCCTCCTGCCCTATGTGACCTTACGGCCCTCAGTGTTACCCTGCCCCGGGTTCCTCCTGTCCTACGTGGCCTTACAGCCCTCACTGTCACCCTGCCCCGGGTCCCTCCTGCCCTATGTGGCCTTACAGCCCTCACTGTCACCCTGTCCCCAGGTCCCTCCTGCCCTATGTGGCCTTACAGCCCTCACTGTCACCCTGTCCCCAGGTCCCTCCTGCCCTATGTGGCCTTACAGCCCTCACTGTCACCCTGTCCCCAGGTCCCTCCTGCCCTATGTGGCCTTACAGCCCTCACTGTCACCCTGCCCTGGGTCCCTCCTGCCCTATGTGGCCTTACAGCCCTCACTGTCACCCTGTCCCCAGGTCCCTCCTGCCCTATGTGGCCTTATAGCCCTCACTGTCACCCTGCCCCGGGTCCCTCCTGCCCTATGTGGCCTTACAGCCCTCACTGTCACCCTGCCCCGGGTCCCTCCTGCCCTATGTGGCCTTACAGCCCTCACTGTCACCCTGCCCTGGGTCCCTCCTGCCCTATGTGGCCTTACAGCCCTCACTGTCACCCTGCCCTGGGTCCCTCCTGCCCTATGTGGCCTTACAGCCCTCACTGTCACCCTGCCCTGGGTCCCTCCTGCCCTATGTGGCCTTACAGCCCTCACTGTCACTCTGTCCCTGGTTGTGGCAACAGTATCCTGAGGCACAGTCACCAAAAAGCCACATCCCTCTTAGAGAATCTGAGGCTATCACACTACCACCTGGAACCCTTCAGTGACTCCCTATGGCGTGGTCTGAAGTCCAGGCCCACGTGGCTTCCGGGGTGCCCCACCCTGCGGGGTCACCCCTCCGCCTGCAGGCCTTGCCCTTTCACTCCAGCAAACCAATTGTCCCTTATTGCCCTGCCTACCCGGTGAGGCCGGCCCTGCCTGCACGATTACTGTCACCCCCACCTCGTCTCCTCCTGCTATCCCCCACGGGCAGTTCTGCCTCAGGTCCACATCTCAGACCCCAGCTAGGAAACCTCCGCTTCGGCCCGGGTCGCAAATCCCCCGCGTCCCCGCTGCGGCTCCTGCACGGACCGGGCGTGCGCGTGGCTTTCTGCTGCCCCCTGCCGGCTGCAGCGACGCGGGGCACAGGCGGGGCCTGGGTCAAGGCTGGAGAGGGAACGTTGCACTGTGCTGGCCCCAGGGAGGGGCCCGTCACAGCTGCTCAATTCCGCCCTATGACAGCAGCCACAGACAGTAATAAAGGGCAGGCGTGCCCGTTCCCACGAAACTTCATGGGCACTGAAATTTGAATGTGTCACAAAGATTATTCTTTTGTTTTTTTTTTTAACCATTTAAAAATGTAAAACCCGGCCAGGTGTGGTGGCTCACATCTGTAATCCCAGCACTTTGGGAGGCTGAGGCAGGCGGATCACTTGAGGCCAGAAGTTCGAGACTAGCCTGGCCAACATGATGAAACCTCGTCTCTACTAAAAATACAAAGATTAGCCTAGCCGGGCATGAGGTCACACGCTTGTAATCGCAGCTACTCGGGAGGCTGAACTCAAGAGGCAAAGGTTGCAGTGAGCCCAGATTACACCACTGCACTCCAGCCTGGGAGATAGAATGAGACTCCATCTCAAAATAATAATAATAATAATAATAATAATAATAATGATAATAATATAAAACCCACTCTTAGTTCACAGGACATATGAAAGCATGCAGGGGGACCCGCAGGTCCCACTCTGCCCCCTGCCTCACTGCCCCAGTTGTGGGCTGTTGCTCTCAGCAGGGCAGGGGTTGCTAGAGACACAGAGCCCCAGGCAGCCTCCAGCCTGCAGAGCCCCAATCCCATTGGAGCAAGATCCGGGCAGATTTGAGAACTCAAGGAAGTTGGAGCAGCACTGCCCTGTGTGGCTTTTACCAGCCCACTGTTGACTGTCATTTCACTTCTTCTCTTTGATTCCTCAGTTGTTTCTTCCTAGAAGCTTCCTTAAAGAGCCCTGAATTTTGACCTCTTGTTAACATGTCAGTATTCGCGCAAGGAGCTGTGAGATGCTCACAGACAGGCATCCCTCGAGAGGCAGGTGTTTTGGACCAAGGGCCCCCACCACCCTGCCCGGTCTGGCTGGCGAGTGACTTTAGCAGGGATACCCGTCTTTGCCAGGGACAGGAACAGCTGCAGGCCAGGGCCCAGGTCTGAGGCTGCCAGGGCTTGTCTCAGGCACATGGCTGGTTGGCAGCCGTGTCTGCCAGGCACGGCGCGGAGCATTTTGCACACATTTGCTGCTCGGGTGGTTGCCAGGTGTCATCCCAATTTTTTTTTTTTTTTTTTTTTTTTTAAGACAGAGTCTTGCTCTGTCGCCCAGGCTGGAGTACAGTGGCACGATCTTGGCTCACTGCAACCTCCGCCTCCCAGGTTCGAGTGATTCTCCTGCCTCAGCCTCCCAAGTAGCTGGAACTACAGGCGCCCGCCACCACACCTGGCTAATTTTTTGTATTTTTAGTAGAGATGGGGTTTCACCGTATTAGCCAGGATGGTCTCGATCTCCTGACCTTGTGATTCGTCCGCCTCGGCCTCCCAAGGTGCTGGGATTACAGGCGTGAGCCACTGTGCCAGGCCCCCAATTTTATAAATGAAAAGCGAGGCTCAGGGATAAGGTGTCATGGGCCCAAAGTCACAACGTCTACAAGTGACAAAACGGATTTTGTACCACAACTTGCCTAAAAAGCCTGCAGGAAGTCAGAAAAAGTGTACAAATATAACTTAGGGTGGGGAGCGGGTGGGGACAAGACCAAAACGGGGATAGTCGAGGGCTGTACAGACACGGGGTCACCGCTCTGCTTCTATTCGAACATTTTCCTAATACAAAGCCGGGGGGAAACGACCACCTGGAAACCAACAACCATGTCCCAGAAAGCTGAGTAACTTCTTTTCCCCCCCTCTTGTTTTTGAGACGGGGTTTTACTCTGTCACTCAGGCTGGAGTGCAGTGCTGTGATCATAGCTCACTGTAGCCTCTCACTCCAGGGCTCAAGCGATCCTCCCACATCAGCCTCCTCCAGGAGGCAGAAGAGACCACTTGAGGCCAGGAGTTTGAGACCAGCCTGGGTAACTTAGTGAGACTATGTCCTATAAAAAAAAAAAAATTTTTTTTTTTTTTTTTTTTGAGACAGAGTCTCACTCTTGTTGCCCAGGCTGGAGTACAATAGCGCGATCTTGGTTCACTGCAACCTCCGCCTCCCGGGTTCAAGTGATTCTCCTGCCTCAGCCTCCCAAGTAGCTGGGATTACAGGCGTGAGTTACCAGACCCAGCTAATTTTTTTTCTACAAAAAAAATTTTAAATGAGCTGGGCATGGTGGCATGTGCCTGCAGTGATCCTCCCATCCAGCTACTCAGGAGGCTGAGGTGGGAGGATAGCTTGAGCCCAGGACTGACAGGCTACAGTGAGCTATAATCGCAGCACTGCACTCCAGCCTGAGTGACAGAGTAAAACCCTGTCTCAAAAACAAGAAGGGAAGGGGGAATCTAGACACACAGGCAGATGGGCACAGAGGGGAGACAATGTGGAGACAGCCCCGTGACCATCAGGGCAGAGACTGGGGTAATTGCTGAGACCCACTAGAAGCAGGAAGAGGGAGGCAGCGTTCTACCCTAGCACCAGCAGAGGAAGCATGGCCCCACTGACACCTCAATTTCGGCCTACCAGCCTCCAGAACTGGGAGATGATACATTTCTGTTGTTGGAGGATCCCCAGGTTGTGGCACTCTGTTACTGCAGCCCCAGGAGGCAAATCCAGAGGCCGCGGGTGCTTGAGTGACTACCTGCCTCTCCACTGTCCCTTTCTGCCACCCCCATCTCCTTCGCTCAGCCCCAGTCAAACAGAGCCTCCCAGCTGCCTGTGCCCACTCCAGGCCTTGTGCCTCTCCCCACGCCTCCTCCCCCCCAGAACAGCTCTTCATCTACACCCCAGCTCACACTCCTCCATGACCCTCTCCCCATGGCTCCTCCCCCCAGACAGTCCTTCATGTACACCCCAGCTCACACTCCTCCATGACCCTCTTCCCACGGCTCCTCCCCCAGACAGCCCTTCATCTACACCCCAGCTCACACTCCTTCATCTACACCCCAGCTCACACTCCTTCATCTACACCCCAGCTCACACTCCTTCATCTACACCCCAGCTCACACTCCTTCATCTACACCCCAGCTCACACTCCTTCATCTACACCCCAGCTCACACTCCTTCATCTACACCCCAGCTCACACTCCTTCATCTACACCCCAGCTCACACTCCTTCATCTACACCCCAGCTCACCTCCTTCATCTACACCCCAGCTCACCTCCTCCATGACCCTTCTAAGAGTTCATTCACAGGGATTCCATGACTGTCCTCACCAGGCTGGCCCCATTGTGGTTACTGTGCACGCCTGCACTAAAACTCCTCTGACTCCACTGTAATCAATATGCATCTGTCTCTCCCCTTTTTGAGGACATGGCCTCATCTTCTGCATCTCGCTGTCCCTGGTACCCAGAAGAGGGCTTGCCATATAAGAGGTGGTGCTTATAAATACAACAGGCCAGGTGCGGTGGCTCATGCCTGTAATCCCAGCACCTTGGGAGGCCAAGGAGGGCAGATCATGAGGTCAGGAGATCGAGACCATCCTGGCTAACACAGTGAAACCCCGTCTCTACTAAAAGTACAAAAAATTAGCCGGCCGTGGTGGCGGGCACCTGTAGTCCCAGCTACTCAGGAGGCTGAGGCAGGAGAATGGCATGAACCCAGGAGGCGGACCTTGCAGTGAGCCAAGATCGCTCCACTGCACTCCAGCCTGGGCGACAGAGCAAGACTCCGTCTCAAAATACATACATACATACATACATACAACATCAGTAGCAACCAACACTATTTTAACAATAGCAGGAAGCATTACTTCATTTGAGCTGTACAACCAAATGTGTATTAACACAAGGTCATTGGTTTTGCACAATTTAGCTTACATGTAATTTCATTAATTCATTCACATTAATTAAGTGCAATACACACAGGTACTTCGAGAGAGATAAGAATAAGTGACGCCGGGTGTGGTGGCTCATACCTGTAATCCCAGCACTTTGGGAGGCTGAGGTGGGAGGACTGCTTGAGCCCAGGAGTTCAAGACCAGCCTGGATAACATAGCAAGATCCCATCTCTACAAAATAAAATGTTTTGTTTATTTGTTTATTTATTTATTTATGAGACAGAGTTTCGCTCTTGTTGCCCAGGCTGGAGTACAATGGTGCGATCTCGGCTCACCGCAACCTCTGCCTCCCGGGTTCAAGCAATTCTCCTGCCTCAGCCTCCCAAGTAGCTGGGATTACAGGCACGCACCACCACGCCTGGCTACTTTTGTATTTCTTAGTAGAGAAGGGGTTTCTCCATGTTGGTCAGGCTGGTCTCGAACTCCTGACCTCAGGTTATCTGCCCACCTCGGCCTCCCAAAGTGCTGGGATTGCAGGCGTGAGCCACTGCATCCAGCCTATTTATTTTTTATTATTCTTTTTTTTGAGACAGAATCTCACTCCATCACCCAGGCTGGAGTGCAGTGGCCCAAACCCAGCTCACCACAACCTTCGCGCCCCTGGTTCAAGCGATTCTTCTACCTCAGGCTCGGAGTAGCTGGGATAACAGGTGCACACCACCTCACCTGGCTAATTTTTGTATTTTTAGTAGTGATGGGGTTTCACTATGTTGGCCAAGGTGGTCTCGAACTCCTGAACTCAAGTGATCCTCCCACCTCAGCCTCCCAAAGTGCCGGGATTACAAGCATGAGCCACCACACCTGGCCCAATTTTTAAAAAATAAATAATAATAAAAAAAGAATAAGTGAGTCACAACCTCTACCCACAGCAGGGCTCACAGCACTGTGAGGATTCACACAAACTATAGATTGAGGCAGCGGGGAGTAAGATCCGCCGCGTGTGGCTCAAACACCAGTCCTGCCCCTGAAGCTGGCATGTCTGTGACAAGTCATTATCCATCTATGCATCCATTTCTCAGCCTAGAAATAATAGGGATGAAGCAGCTTATTTCAGCTACCGATACAAATCCCTATACATGGATGACCATCTCAAACTGGGCTCTGTCATGGTGTCAGTTGAGGACGCTAACCCCCAACCATACCAGTGCCCTGGACTGCAATTCCTGCAGCAGATGCGGGCCCTGTTGCTCCAACTCTTCTCTCCTGGGTGACTTGGTTCACGGGGAAAGAGGACACAGGGCAGACTCCCTGGAATGTCCCACAGTGACTCCATCAGCCCGCCAAGTCGTGTTGCTCGTAGCTGGCTGAGGGTTTTCAGGTCCTGAACTGCATCATCAGTGTGGTTAGGCCTCTTTCAAAGCAGGATCAGCAAATCCCTCCTCCACCGAAAGGCCCCACAGCAGCCCTGTGTGCAGAAGGTCATGCACACCCACACAGCATGGGTCACGCTGTGGGTGCTACAGACAGGCAGTCAGGAGAAAGGCGGCCTTCCCTCTGGCCACCTCTCTGCTGGTGCCTGTGGAGTGGGAATAACATCCTGTGTAAGAAACTATACCCTGGAGTTCCAAGTGCCACCAAAGAAAAGCACAGGTGGGGCTATCTAAACGGAGCCTCCATGGGAACTGGGCAAATGTGCCCCTTAACAGGCCTTATGCCCACCCCCAGGAAATCTGTCATAATATATGGATCTTGTCAGAACAATACACTTTGCTGTATCTGACATAAACAATCATCACAATCAATACACGATATAAGTGGGTATTTGAACAATATCCCCTTATACAAGTGGCTCCCTTGTGCAGTGTCCGACCTGTGCCACTGTAAGTCACAGTCCTGAGGGTTGACCCACACTGAAGTTTGAGTTTTCTCTAAATGCTAAAGAAAGGTGAGCAAAACCAGGGGTTAGAGTGGGTGTTGGACAACACAGTTTTAAACCAATCTATAGTTCACATATTCAAAATGGAAAATCTCTCTAAAAGTTTGACCTAAAAAAATCCCTCAGCATGTAAAGAATCATGATATCCAGTCACAAATGGTTTTAGAGCAGGAGTCCAGAGCCTTTTTTTTTTTTTTTTTGAGACAGAGTCTCACTCTGTCACCCAGGCTGGGGTGCAGTGGTGTGATCTCGGCTCACTGCAGCCTCTGCCTCCTGTGTTCAAGCGATTCTCCTGCCTCAGCCTCCTGTGTAGCTGGGATTACAGGTACCCACCACCACGTCTAGCTAATTTTTGTATTTTTAGTAGAGACGGGATTTTACCATGTTGGCCAGGCTGGTCTCCAATTCCTGACCTCAAGTGATCTGCCCGCCTCTGCCTTTCAAAGTGCTGAAAT
Source organism: Homo sapiens (assembly GCF_000001405.40). Taxonomy (NCBI): domain Eukaryota; kingdom Metazoa; phylum Chordata; class Mammalia; order Primates; family Hominidae; genus Homo; species Homo sapiens. Next base: position 158,698,141 of record NC_000006.12, on the reverse strand, counting down.
TACAGGCGTGAGCCACCACACCCAGCCCAGAGCCATTTTAAGCATATTTTAGTCCTTAGGAAAATTTGAGCTAAGATAGCACTGGCTCCAAGCCACTGTCCCAGGATGAAAGAAGACACAGAGCAGGACTGTGAATCAGCAACCAGTGCCTTCCAGGGAGCAACAATTACTAACAGAAGATTTACAATCCTGTGGACAAGAAGCATCCCCTATCCAGCATCCTTCTGCCACCAGACATTACTCTTCTGCTTAGTGACAGAAGAGAACAATACCTTTTCCCTTTAATGAAGCTACCCATGTCCTATCAGGCAGACACTCTGGGCAGTAAGTCTTCCACTGACATACACTCAAGGCCGAGGGTGACTGGTTCAGGTTTGGTGAGTACCTGGGGCAAGAAGGTCTAAACTGCTTTTCAGCATCCTTTGGATTTTCTCTAAAAAAAATGAATATAGGCTCTAGGAGCTCTCTATATATTCTAGATGTTAATCTCTTATCAGATATGTGATCTGAAAATATTTTCTCTCATTCTGTTGCTTACCTTTTTATTTTGTTAATAGTGTCCTTTGATGCACAAAAGTTTTTCATTTTGATGATGTCCAATTTTTCTATTTTTTATTTTGTTCCCTGTGCCTTTGCTGTCATAGCTAAGAAATCATTATCAGATCCAATGTCGTGAATCTTTCCCCCTGATTGATTGACTGATTTGAGACAGGGTCTTTGCTCCATCACCCAGGCTGGAGTGCAGTGGCGCGATCTTGGCTCACCATAGATTCAAATGATCCTCCCACCTCAGCCTCCCAAGTAGCTGGGACCACAGGCGTGGACCACCATGCTCAGCTAATTTTTTTTTTTTTTTTTTTTTTTCCGTAGAGATGGGGTTTCACCATGTTGTCTAGGCTGGTCTCGAACTCCTGGGGTCAAGCAATCCACCCACCTGGGCCTTCCAAAGTGCTGAAATTACAGGTGTAAGCCACCACGCCCAGCTTCCCCATTTTATTCTAAGAAAACAAGAGCTCTTATCTTTAGGTATTTGATGCATTTTGGGTTAATTTTTATATATGTTGTTAGGTAAGGGTCTGGCTTACCTTATTTCACTTAGCACTTGCTAAGTGAAATAAGGTAACTAAGAAAAAAGTTGGCTAAGAAATAAGCCAACTTTTTTCTTTTGTATGTGGATATCCAGTTTTCCCAGTGCCATTTGTTGAAAAAACTATCCTTTCCCTACTGAATGGTCTTAGCACCCTTCTCAAAAATCATTTGACCATATGTGCATGGCTTTATTTCTAGGCTTTCTATTCTATTCCATTGGTCTATATGTCCGTCTTTATATCAGTACCACACTGTTTTGATTACTGTAGCTTTGTAGTAAGTTTTGAGATCTGGAAGCGTGAGTCCTCCAGCTTTGTTCTTTTTTTGTTTTTAAGAAACAAAACAATCCAATTAAAAAAAAAGGCAAAGAACTTGAATAGACATTTCTCCAAAGATGATGTACAAATGGCCAATAAGCACATGAAAAGATGTTCAACATCACTAATTATTAGGGAAATGCAAATCAAAGCCACAACAAGATACCACTTCACACCCATTAGGGTGGCTACTATCAAGAAAATATAAAATAAGTGTTATAAAAATAAGTGTTGGCCAGGTGCGGTGGCTCACACCTGTAATCCCAGCACTTTGGGAGGCCGAGGCAGGCAGATCACGAGGTCAGGAGATGAAGACCATACTGGCCAACACAGTGAAACCCCATCTCTACTAAAATACAAAAAAAAAAAAAAATTAGGCGTGGTGGCATGCACCTGTAGTCCCAGCTACTCGGGAGGCTGAGACACGGGAATCGCTTGAACCCTGGAGGCAGAAATTGCAGTCAGCCGAGATAGCACCACTGTACTCCAGCCTGGCAACAGAGTGAGACTCCATCTCAAAAAAAAAAGTGTTAATAAAATAAGTGTTAGTGTGGTTGTGAAAAAATTGGAACCCTTGTGCATTGCTAGTGGGGAAGTATAATAAAATAGGGCAGCAGATGCTGAAAATTCCATGGCAGTTCCTCAATAAATTAAACATAGAATTACCATTTGATCCAGTAATTCCACTTCTGAGTATAAACACAAAAGGATTTAAAGCAGGAACTCTAATAAATATTTGTACACCAATGTTCCCAGCAGCATTATTCACAATGGTCAAGAGGTGGAAACAACCCAAATGTCCATCAGCAGATGAATGGATAAACAAAGCATGGTATATCCATGACACAGAATACTATTCATCCACAAAAAGGAATGAAATTCTGATACATGCTCTACAACATGAATGAACCCTGAGGAAATTTTGCTAAGTGAAATAAGCCAGATACAAAAGAACAAATACATTATGATTCCACTTATATGTGGTACCTAGAGTAGTCAAATTCATAAAGACAGAATGTAGGACAGTGGGGGAAGGGGAGGATGGAGAGTTATTGTTTAATGGGTTTCAATATAGCAGAATGAAAAAGCTCTAGAAACAGATGGTGGTGATGTTTGCATAACAATGCAAATATACTTAATGCCAATGAACTTAATGCTTAAAAGTGGCTAAAATGGCAAATTTTATATTGTGCATATTTTGCCACAATTTTAAAAATGAACATGAAGTTATTAAATTCAAAATTATTTCCTATTTAAGTATATATGTGTCTGCTCTTTTAAAAAATTATTCATATGAAGAGGTAGTTTAACAGCAGCAAATTACTCCCTAAAAACTAGTCTAATGAGTAATTTTGTCTAAACATATGAACACATGAATCCTTCATTCAGAAATCCCTTCAGTTCAATTACTTCACCTTGGTTTCCATGCTATTCATTGAAATAGGAAAAATAATGATGGGCATGAAAACGTTGTTGTATTTTATCAACTGATCTTCTAGAGTAGAGGTCAGCAAACTTTTTCTGTAAATTTTTTGGTAGAAAATTTCAGGCTTTGCCAGCCGTAAGGTCTCTGTTGCAACTACTCAACCTGTTGCAAAAGCAGCCATGGATATGAGAATGAGTGAACATGGCCTTGTTCCAATAAAACTTTATTTACAAAAGCAGGGTGATGGGCCAGATTTGGCTTGCAGGCTGTTGTTTGCCAACTCCCAAAAGAGCAGGGAGTATTTAGTAAAATAAAATATTGACGAACCTGATAACCAGCCCACCTAATCATGGTTCTTCCTCCATTCCAAAAACAGTGAATCAAAACCCAATGAAGCAAGTAAGTAGTGGAGTAGTCGTGACAATTCAGGACCAAGAAGTAGGCTGCCTAAAGTGACCTCATTATCATGGAGTGACGGACAGGGCTCAGAGGACATCAGGAGACATACAGACAAAGAAGCAGGCCTGGAAGGAACGCAGGCGCTCAGAAAGCATCGGGGAAACTCCAGTCATCCAGTTAAGATACTTGAGATACAAAAAATGTCTAGGTTAAATTCATGTATTCAAAGTGACTTGGACCTTCTAATCAATTCAATTTTTGTGTTGCTACTATGTGCAAAGCCAAAGGCATCATGAAATCAAAAATGAATAAAATCAGCCAGGTGCAGTGGCTCATGCCTGTAACCCCAGCATTTTGGGAGGCCGAGGTGGGCAGATCACTTGAGCCCAGGAGTTCAGGACCAGCCTGGGCAATATGGCAAAACCCCGTCTCTACTAAAAATAGAAAAACTAACTGGGCGTGGTGGTGTGCACCTGTGGTCCCAGTTACTTGGCAGGCTGAGAGGGAGGATTGCTTGATCCTAGGAGGCGGAGGTTGCAGCGAGCCAATATCACTCCACTGCACTCCAGCCTGGGTGACAGAGAGAAACTTCATCTCAAAAAAAGAAAAAAAAAAGAATAAAATCAAGAGCCTGTCTCAGGAAGATTATTATCTAGAAACACAGGGAGAAAGCAAAAAATTTTGAAGGGCAAGGTCTTATTACATTAATCATAAAATCTGATTTGATAGTCTTGGCTCTACTTAGTTTAAATGGACCTGTCTAAAAATCTCTGAGACACGAAAAGCAATCCAATCTGCTGGGAAAACACTACCAAGACACACACTTCTTTTAGTGGTGATGTGTTTATCTTTCCTCTTAAGGAGAGTAGTAACAAAATATTCAAGAATAGGATCCACCTTTCCTTTAAAATAAAAGCAGGCCAGGCACAGTGGCTTACGCCTACAGTCTTAGCAATTTGGGAGGCCAAGGCAGGTGGATCACTTGAACTCAGGAGTTCGAGACCAGCCTGGGCAACATGGCAAAACCCTGTATCTACAAAAAAAAAAAAAAAAAAGAAAAGAAAAAGAAAGGCTGGATGCAGTGGCACACCTGTAATCCCAGCACTTTTGGAGGCCGGCGCAGGTGGATCACTTGAGCTCAGGAGTTCGAGACCAGCCTGGGCAACACGGCAAAACCCTGTCTCTACCAAAAAGAAAGAAAGAAAGAAAGAAAACGAAAAGAAAGAAAGGCTGGATTCAGTGGCACACCTGTAATCCCAGCACTTTTGGAAGCTGAGGCAGGTGGATCATTTGAGGTCAGGAGTTTCAGACCAGCTTGGCCAACATGGTGAAACCCCATCTCTACTAAAAATGCAAAAGTCAGCTGGGTGTAGTGGCATGCACCTGTAATCTCCACTACTCAGGAGGCTGAGATAGGAGAATCGCTTGAAGGGAGGCAGAGGTTGCAGTGAGCCAAGATCGCACCACTGCACTCCAGCCTGGGTGACAGAGTGAGACTCCATGTCAGCAGAACAAAACAAAACAAATTAGCCAGGTGTAGTGGTGCATGCCTGTGATCCCAGCTACTTGGGGGGCTGAAGTGGGAGAATTTCTTGAGCCAAAGAACTTGAGGCTGCAGTGAGCCAAGATCCCGCCACTGTGCTCCAGGTTAGGTGACAAAATGAGACGCTGTCTCAAAAAAATAAAACAAAAGTCTATGTAAAATTTTTAAAATTTTTATCTGGGAAATAAACATGACTTCATAAAGACATCCTCTTAGGAGTATAAGCACACATAAACTATGGACTCCATTTGTAATTCAAAGAAAGCTTTACAGAATCATCCTTGTGGAATCCATTGGATGAATTGCAGGGATGAGGGGTGTTTACTGAGCAAACCAACGGAGAGGAGAGGCAGGCAGGGCACTGGGATAGAGTCAGCTACGTATTGACTGACACCTGCTTTTTTTTTTCTTTTTTTTGAGACGGAGTCTCGCTCTGTCGCCCAGGCTGGAGTGCAGTGGCACGATCTCGGCTTACTGCAACCTCCACCTCCCAGGTTCATGCCATTCTCCTGCCTCAGCCTGCCGAGTGGCTGGGACCACAGGCGCCCACCACCATGCCCGTCTAATTTTTTGTATTTTTTTTTTTTTTTTTTTAGTAGAGACGGGATTTCACCACGTTAGCCAAGATGGTCTCCATCTCCTGATCTCGTGATCCGCCCTCCTTGGCTTCCCAAAGTGCTGGGATTACAGGCGTGAGCCACCGCGCCCGGCCTGGCACCTGCTTCTTTTAATTCATGAGCCTGAGTGTTTCAAGCCCACACAGCCAATCTGATGCCGTCCTCATAACCCTGTGATGGGACGGATCATGTCTAAACTGCCCATGCAGAAGAATACAACTTAGAAAAGTCACTTGAAGAACTCAATCACGTTTACTGCTGGGAGGGAGGGATAAAGGTCATTTTCCTTCATAATTATAAGATACAATAATTAACCTGGTTAGTTACATGATGAATCATTGAGAGCATTATCAGAGGCTATGTTAAGCCTTAGCCTTTCTAAATTATTTTATTTCCCTAACTATTAGAAATACAGTGAAAGTCTGAGTAGACTGCTTATCTATTACATTTAACCCTTTTTTTTTTTTTTTTTTTTTTTTTTTTTTTTTTTTTTGAGACGGAGTCTCGCTCTGTCGCCCAGGCTGGAGTGCAGTGGCACAATCTGGGCTCACTGCAAGCTCCAGTTCCCAAGTTCCCACCATTCTCCTGCCTCAGCCTCCCAAGTAGCTGGGACTACAGGCGCCCGCCACCACGCCCGGCTAATTTTTGTGTATTTTTAGTAGAGACGGGGTTTCACCGTGTTAGCCAGGATGGTCTCGATCTCCTGACCTCGTGATCCGCCCGCCTCGGCCTCCCAAAGTGCTGGAATTACAGGCATTAAGAAATTACAACTATTTCTTAACTTAAGAAAGTTTAATATTGGCCGGGCGCGGTGGCTCACGCCTGTAATCCCAGCACTTTGGGAGGCCGAGGCGGGCCGATCACGAGGTCAGGAGATCGTGACCATCTTGGCTAACACGGTGAAACCCCGTCTCTACTAAAAATACAAAAAATTAGCCAGGCGTGGTGACAGGTGCCCGTAGTCCCAGCTACTCAGGAGGCTGAGGCAGGAGAATGGCGTGAACCCGGGAGGCGGAGCTTGCAGAGAGCCGAGATCACATCACTGCACTCCAGCCTGGGCGACAGAGCGAGACTCCGTCTCAAAAAAGAAAAAAAAAAGTTTAATATTAATATTGTCATCTTTCTGCTTTTAAGCTTGTACATCAAGTAACAGAATGTCATGGTTGTTAAAAAAAAGAAAAAAAGTAAAAGAGGTGCATTTACAGGGAGGAGCCAGAAGAGGGCATCATTTCTATACGCTTAGCAGATGCCAAAAGAGGAGAGATGAATTTTCAGCTTGTTTTCTAGTTATTAGTGATCTAAAAAAGTTCTATCATAATTGTTTACTAATTTTGTTACTTTACTTAAAGTACATTAAAAAAGTTACTTGGGGAACTGTTAAACAGTCACTTTTTTTTTTTTCTTTTGAGATGGAGTCTCAGTTGCTGCCCAGGCTGGATGCAGTGGCATGATCTTGGCTCACTGCAACCTCCGCCTCCCAGGTTCAAGCGATTCTCCTGCCTCAACCCCCCGAGCAGCTGGGATTACAAGCGTGTGTCACCATGTCCAGCTAATTTTTGTATTTTTATTAGAGACAGCGTTTCACCATGTTGACCAGGCTGGCCTCAAACTCCTGGCCTCAAACGATCCTCCCACCTCATCCTCCCAAAGTGCTGGGATTACAGGCATGAGCCACCGCCCTTAGCCAAACATTCACTCTTGAACCCCATCTGGCCCCACCAAATTAGAACCTGTGTGTGTGAGGCCAGGAAGGTTGAATTTGAATCAGTTTGCAGCTGATCCTGGAGCGTGGGTCCAGGAACCACATTAAAAACCCTCTGCACGGATTGCCAAATGCCCGTGGATGGAGGCACAGAAGGTGATGATGCCAGGTTGTCCTGGGGAGCTTCCTAAAGGCAAGAGAGCCTATGAAGGTCTGGGTGCTTTGATAATTCGAATGTACTACAGATGAACCACCACGGTGGCATCAAAGAAATTATTTTAAGACCACAAAACTAAATATCCAGTTATGAAATTTTAGGGGAAAAAGCCAGCCTATAATCAGAAAAATTTTTAAATAAATCAAAATATTTAAAATTTTTTGTACTATCGCTCTACAAAATGAAGAACTGAGGCTCATTTTTTCTTGTTTTTAAATTGTTTTAATAGTTGAAAAAATAGCACAACACATATTACCACAATTTATTATTCTTCACTAGATTCTTATAGCATGTCTACTTCCAAGGAAATCTGGGGGGCATTTTATCTTAAATTGCACATATCCAATAAGATCATCAAAAGAGAAATAAGTAAAAGCTAATAAAAAGGAAACTGGGTGCAGAGGGTGTAATGATTCCTGGAATTACTGCAACTGAATGTTACATTTAGCTTTAGGTTTCCCCGTGTCAAAAAGGGAAGGATGTCTACATTTGTAAGGTGCCTACTCAGTGCTGGGCACTGACAATGGACACTACTCCCTCTAACAGCACTTTTTGTGGCCAAATGAGCAGATCCCTGCTCAATTTATTTATTCACTTATTCCTTTACTCATAGCTCCTGCTCTCAAACATTCAAAATCTGGCTAGGGCCAAATTGCCAAGAGTTGCAGGTGAAGGAGAGGGCACCGTGTGTCCTCTATGAGACAGCACCCGCTGGAGCGCAGGGCTGGGCACAAGGAGAGTGGTGCCCCACGCTGTGCCAATCAGTGGCCCTGGGTTACAACGCAATGGGAAAGGGAATGGTTATGTAACAAATGGTACCAGGAACATCAAGGATTGGGAGGAAAAAAAATTAGATAGGGCCTCCTGATGATTGTAAAGAGTTAACATGGTGGCTCAGGCCTATAATCCCAGCACTTTGGGAGGCCAAGGCAGGCGAATCACTTGAGGCCAGGAGTTCAAGACCAGGCTGGCCAACATAATGAAACCCCGTCTCTACTAAAAATACAAAAATCAGCTGAGCATGGTGACATGTGCCTATAATCCCAGCTACTTGGGAGGCTGAGGCAGAAGAATCGCTTGAACCTAGGCGGTGGAGGTTGCAGTGAACCAAGATTGCGCCATGGTACTCCAGCCTGGGTGACAGAGTGAGACTCTGTCTCAAGGGGAAAAAAAAAAAAAAGTTAAGTAAAAATTAGAAGAAAATTAATGTGGATATTTAACCTATCACAGGATAAGGAAGAAGTCTCGAAGCATAAAAGCAAAAGAAATTATACGGGAAAAGGAGATTTGCCTACAAGCAAACAAAAAACTTCTTTGTGTTAAAAACAAAATTATAAAGAAGGCCATGTACTAGGAAGATAACATGCAACTAACATGATTGAAAAGGACTAATCGCCTTCACATACCAAGAACATCTACAGAAGGTTGAAAAGTGGAAGATACTCAATCTTATTCGTGATGAGATGAATTCAAATCAAAACGATGAGAAAACCATTTTGCATGACCAATGTTGTTTTGCCAAACTGATAAAGTTATCTATTGGTTTGCATGTTGGTTTATTTTTAAGGATAATTCCACACCCTTTCTAAAGGAGGCAACATTCCTAACCTTCATCTTGTTCTCTTTCTAGAAATATTCAGAGATGTGCCAAAAAGATATCTACAAGGATATTCTTTGCATTATTCTCATTTTAATAACCTTATAAACTTTCAAAAATGCAACAGAAAGCTGGAAATCCCCTAACTATCCAACAATAGTTATTTGGTTAAACAAATGATGACACATTCCTATGACGGGGTGAGATACACTCATCAGAAATCATATAGCCAATGATATTTATGGACACTGAAAATGTTCCTTATAAATTACTACATGAAGAAACATTAGGATAAAACTGTACATACAATTTGATTTCAATTATGTAAATATATTAGCCTGACTCATGTGAAATTGCCTCTATTCAATAATTTTTTGCCTAAAAATACCAATTTCTTATGGTTCAACCTAAATACTTCAAAAAAGTCTATGTATATGTGTGTATACACACACATATATCCACACATACAGATATGCACCCACAAGCATAGATACATACACTCACAAAAGAACAGAAATAATATATACTAAAATGTCAACAATTGTTCTCTGGGTGAAGCTGCTGTATTTTTAACATTGCTCTTTATGATTTTCTTCATTTTCTAGGTTTTAATTTTTTAATTTCATTTAATTTTTTTAGAGACAGGATCTCACTATGCTGCCCAGGCTAGTCTTGAACTCCTGGGCTCAAGCGATCCTCCTGCTTTGACCTCCCAAAATGCTGGGATTACAGGCATGAGCCACTGAGCCTGGCGTCTAGTTTTTTACGTGAATGTAATTTGAAATCATGCTTCAAAGCTCAGAATGTAATGGGGGCCAGAGTGTGGGAAGAAGGAAATTTGTGTACCCTGCCAGCCTGTTGTAAATAAGCACACACTCCCAGAGGGTAATTTGGCAAAACATCAAAAGCCTTTCAAGTATTCATACACTTGACCAATCATTCTTCTAAGAATTTACCCCCCAAAAATAAACAGACATGTCAAAATACCTGTACAAGACGTTCATCACAGAGTTATCTATAACATGAAAAATCAAATACAGTGATATACTCACAGACACTCGGGAACAGGTTAAATAAACTATAGTGCATATATTTGGTGTATTTTATGGAGTCATCAATACATTTTGGAAGAAGTCTTAATAACATAGGAAAATGTTTATGCCAAGTTGAATTGTAAAAGCAAAATAAAACCACATAGAGTCTGATCACAATACATTTGAAATTGGATAAGTCTATCTGTGCACACACATATACACAGGCTTACCTAGAAAGAAGGCTGGGAGTGTGCAGGTGTGTACACGTGCATGTAATTTACAGTAGTTTGGGATTGTGGTAGTATTTCCATTACATCTAAATACTATTCTGTGTTTCCCAAATGCTTGCAAGGTTTGCATTACTTCTGTAATCAGAAAGTAAGTAACTTCCTTTCAAAGAGAAAAGGAAGCTCCCTCTCTTCACAGAATAGAAGATGGACCAAGGGGGAAGCAGTTAGGAGCTGCTACGTTGGAAGTGAGAATGAAGGGCAGAGGAAGATTCCAGAGACTCAGGAGGCAGAAATGTCAGGATTTGCTGACTGACCAGATGTAGCGGCAGAATGAGGAACAAAGGAGTCAAGTTTGATTCTCAGGTCTGTGGATTTGGAGACAGAGTGAGAGGTGTCGCCATTCTCCCAAGACAAGGAACACAGGATTTGGTAGCACACAGACGGTCCCAGTGATTCTTGCTTCCTGATATTCAGACCCTTTGTCCTCTCTGACTAGGGCTGACCTGTGGGACCCATAGGGCATAGCAGAAATGACAGGGTGTGGCTTCTGAAGCTAGACCATAAAAGATATTGTGGGCTCTGCTTTTCTCTCTCTTGGATCACTTGCCCTGGGAGAAGCCAGCCGCCATGTCATGAGGACACTCAAGCAGCCCTGTGGAGATATCCCCATGGTGAGGAACCAAGTCCTCCTCCCAATACCAGCAGTCACTGGCCAGGTATGAGGGTAAGCCCCAAGAGCACAGATCCCCCAGCCCCAGGCGAGCCTTCCACTGAAGACAGAAACTGTCAAAGAATGTTACTTGATTTATGTCACTAGGTTTGAGGGGAATTTGCTATACAGCAATAGATAACCAGTGCGTGGAAAGAGGCACAGACTGGAGCTGTCTGTACACTTTTGTGGTTTAAACCACCATCTAGTTTTTCTAACTTCTGCTCAGGATATAGAGGGCTGGAAAGAGTATTGCCGGTACCATGACAACAAAAACACTAGAGAACATGCAAAACCACTTTTTCCGGAACACATCAGAGAATTGAGGTTGCAGTTGCCTCCCTATTAGGGTCCAGTGGGGGCTTCCAGAGGGAGACCAGGGCCAGGAGGAGGGAGAAGGGGCTCATGCCTTCCTTCCGACCTGTGTCTGGCCAGCATCAGCTCAACAGGGTCGGAGGGTGTCTGCCTCCTGCAGCTGCTAGCTCTGTTCTCTCACTATTCCCTTTTTGCCTCCAATTCCTGTCTAACCAATCCCTAAAGTAAATTCTTATTCAAATAACCAGACAGTTTCTATTTCCCTAAGTGGATCTTAACTGCTGCAGCACAAATTCAATTCAACTCCTCAATGACTGCACCTGGTTCTCTTTTAGGGCCACAAATAGGAGCGTGGTGGAATTCCTGCCTGTCCACCTAAACCTCTGTCACCTGATCCTTGTTACCTTTCCTGACGCACCCGCTGCAAACTCCACCCAACCTGGTCTGGCTCATAGCACTACTTGTGTGCTCCTAACCTGGCATTTTCCCCCATAGTTCCATGCCTCTTACCCCAACTCTACTGAAACAGGACAATGGGAAAATGAGGCACCCTGGCATTTGAGGAAGCATTGTAGAGAAGGAGGGAAAGTTAGGGCTTTTCTGGTGTTTATTTTATACATTGATAGAAACGACATCAGCAAAAAAGAATGATTTATGCTGAGGTTGATCTTCCTGACCCTGGTTTGTTTGTCCTTACTGAAGTTTTTATTCTTAAAGTTATAAGGCAAGAAAGAAAACCCTAAGACATCAGTCTCACCTCTTTCCTAATTCCCTTTTTATCTTAAGTCACCTTGATAACATACTTCTCCCACTCACTCAGGAGACATGAAGTGCTGAAAAGATGACAAGATGGTAACGTGTGTGCACAAACACACACACATACATTCATGCACACATGAAAACTACTTACCTGAAATAATGATGCTAGAACTTCTAACGACGTAGAAAACTTTTTGAGTGAAGCAGATGTCTGCACTTAGCTGGCATTGAGAAATGACAAACTTCACCTCCTACAGCACTACTGTTTATAAGCTAGGAATTGATGTGGAAAAGGGTAGAGTCTACCTTCTGAAGAAGGCTCCAGCCCACCAACAAAAAGGTTTTGTTTTTGTTTGTTTGTTTGTTTTTGAGATGGAGTTTCACTCTTGTTGCCCAGGCTGGAGTGCCATGGCATGATCTCGGCTCACAGCAACCTCCGCCTCCCAGCTTTAAGCAATTCTCCTGCCTCAGCCTCCCGAGTAGCTGGGATTACAGGCAGGTGCCACCATGCCCGGCTAATTTTGTATTTTTAGTAGAGACGGGGTTTCTCCATGTTGGTCAGGCTGGTCTCGAACTCCCAATCTCAGATGATCTGCCCACCTCGGCCTCCCAAAGTGCTGGGATTACAAGTGTGAGCCACCGGGCCCGGTCAAAAAAGTATTTTAAAGAAACACAAAAGTGGCCGGGTGAAGTGCCTCATACCTGTAATCCCAGCACTTTGGGAGGCCAAGGTGGGCAGATCACTTGAGGTCAGGAGTTCAAGACCAGTCAACAAGGTGAAACTCCATCTCTACTAAAAATACAAAAATTAGTCAGACATGGGGCGTGTGCCTGTAATCCCAGCTATTCAGGAGGCTGAGGCAGGAGAATCCCTTGAACCCAGGAGGAGGAGTTTACAGTGAGCTGAGATCATGCTACTGCACTCCAGCCTGGATGACAGAACGAGACTCCATCTAAAAAAAAAAAAAAAAGAGAGAGAGAGAGAGACATAAAAGCAATAAAAACAGAGAAAAGTCCTGTGCTGCAGTTGCTTTGCCAAGGTCACACATTCCACATGGGATGACGGCACCCCTAAGGGGACAAAGATTGGTAGCAAATCTTACCTATTTCAACCGTCTGTGGCTCTCCAAAAGGCCTCAGTACATAGATATATGATATCTGTGATATCAAAAGGTTATGGTAGCAACTTTGAAAAAGTCTCTAAAAAGGCTATGTGGGGTAGGGGAGAGGGTGGCGGTAAGAAGCTGTTGAGAAACACTGGCTTAGAGGAAACAGCAACCCTGCTTCATTCCATTGCCTGACATGACCCTTAGTATTAGTTTTTTCCTCCAGGTTTCCAATAAACTTGGCAGAAGCAGCGTTTTTTTTTTTTTTTTTAAGAAGAGCCAGGAATATAAACCATGGGATAATTTAGTACCAACCAAATCTACACCTGGGCAAATCCACCCTTTATAAAAGCTGAATATCAACCCAAATGAATGGCTTCCTTTACTGCCAACAAACTTTTGGGTGAGGTTCTATGGCTTATTTCCCTACCTGCAAATTGCCACTTTTTCTAGAAAAGAGCCACCGCTGCCCTCTGAGTCAGGCTGTGAGTCTAGGTCCCCAACATCACATCACAGAGGAGGGGTGCTGCCCGCATCCCTGATATAGTCAGATGTGGTTCCCACAGCACCTGCCTGCACTCCACCGTGACGGTGCCTGTGTGCGCCTTTGTCCTGATGCCCCATCACAGCTCTTCTGTGATCAAAGCACAAATCATTCTCTCCACAGTTCCAGGTCCCAGCTACCAATTACACTGGCACAACATACATTGCAAATACTTTTGAAAAAGAAAATAAACTTTTAATCTAAGAAACACAAGCCTCCTTTAAAGTATCAGGCCTAGAGAGACACCGAAATGAGCCCGCAATCACGTCCCCCAACTTGGGCTAATCATTTCAAAGCCACTTGCTCTACGGACTCTAGATTGAGTGTCACCACCAATAGCCATAAATTATCCTAACAATGCCACACACTGGACACCATCACCCACAGCCTATAGCTCAGCAATGGATAGCCAATCATGAATCATGAATAAATTACGGGTATTTCCGTAAACCCACGAGAATTCCTGAAAACCAGCTTTTGTAATCGCCCCTCTCCTGATTCACCCTTCTCTCCTTTGTTCTCCAGAGCCCTTGGAAGTGTTTCCTGGGCTGCAGACCTCAGCCTTGGCCCAGATAAACTCTCCACCTGTATTAGTTTTGCCTCAGTTTCCTTCTTTAGGTCAACATCTCATTATAAGACATTCACAGTATACGGACAAAATGCTTCCACCCATATTACCGCAACATGCGCTCACTCCACAAGCATCAACCTCTGCTCAGTTCAAACGCTCTTCACTCACTGTGGTCTTCACTGATTCAATCATCTTGCTCAAGTATTATAAACAAGGTATTGTGCTTTGGCGCAATATGGGCTAACAAGATTTTAAAATCACAGTTACTGCTTGTAGAGAGAAACAGAAGTGCACAAACAATGCTACAATATAAGGAACTTTGCAACAATTACAGAAGAGAATTACAAACCCAGCACTGATGGTGTTTCAGAGGAGGGGACATCACCCCTAGAAGCAGGAAGCCAGGGAAACCTTGTAGTGCACGAGCCTTAAAGAATGGGGCCAACCTGGCCGGGCCCAGTGGCTCACGCCTGTAATCCCAGCACCTTGGGAGGCCGAGGCGGGCGGATCATGAGGTCAGGAGATCGAGACCATCCTGGCCAACATGGTGAAACCCCGTCTCTACTAAAAATAGAAAAATTAGCCGACTGTGGTGGCACGTGCCTGTAATCCCAGGTACTCCGGAGGCTGAGGCAGGAGAATCGTTTAAACCTAGGAGATGGAGGTTGCAGTGAGCCGAGATTGTGCCACTGCACTCCAGCCTGGCAACAGAGCAAGACTTCGCCTCAAAAAAAAAAAAAAAAAAAAAAAAGGAATAGGGCCAACCTCAGAGGTAGAAATGCAGCAGAGGGAAGAGTAGCGAGCAGAGGGAATGAGCAGCGTGAATTACAGTGAGAGCATCAGCAAATGGAATGGCAAGACATAGGGGCCCGCAGACTACACCCATCATGTTGCTTATATTCCAAAGTCTTAACATCAAATATTTTAAAACTAGGAATAGATCATTTTACTTTACTAAAAAAGTAAAGAGCATTTACCTCCAGTTGGAAATTTCTTGGCTCGTTCCTCATAGAACCATTCTCCAGTTTTTATTTTGACATTCCTGAAAAAATGAGCAGAAAGGAAGCTTCAGAGAGAGAAGATATGAATAGTGCTATATTTACCCCTTTTAAGGGTTAGGTAAGGTCACAAAATATTAGTCTTGCAATGGACCTCAGCAATCAATTTCCTGGCTTAAACACTTAAATTTACAGATTCCCCATAGAGGCGAAGTGATTTCAGTATCAGCAGCAAAGCTGTGCAACTCCCACCGCTATGTGTTTTATCTTGCATGTCATGTGTACGTTCAATGTATAATATGTGAATATGGGCTAGGTGTGGTGGCTCATGCCTGTAATCCCAGCACTTTGGGAGGCCGAGGCAGGCGGATCACGAGGTCAGGAGATCAAGACCATCCTGGCTAACACGGTGAAACCCCGTCTGTACTAAAAATACAAAAAATTAGCCAGGCATGGTGGCGGGCACCTGTAGTCCCAGCTACTCGGGAGGCTGAGGCAGGAGAATGGCGTGAACCCGGGAGGTGGAGCTTGCAGTGAGCTGAGATTTCGCCACTGCACTCCAGCCTGGGCGGCAGAGCCAGACTCCGTCTCAAAAAAAAAAAAAAAAAAAAAAGTGAATGTTAAGCATATTAACATATACTTGTGCCCAGCACGAATCCAGTACTTAATATTTTGTGAACAAATACACAAAGAGAAACAAAATTATTATCATCAAAATGACCAATGTATCAGCCAGGCGCGGTGGCTCACGCCTGTAATCCCAGTACTTTGGGAGGCCAAGGTGGGTGGATCACTTGAGGTCAGGAAGTCGAGACCAGCCTGGCCAACATGGCAAAACCCTGTCTCTACTAAAAACACAAAATTAGCCAGGCATGGTGGCACATGCCTGTAATCCCAGCTACTCGGGAGGCTGAGGCAGGAGAATTTTCGCTTGAACCTGGGAGACGGAAGTTGCAGTGAGCCGAGATTGCACCATTGCACTCCAGCCTGGGTGACAGAGCAGGCCTCCATCTCAACATCACCACAAATGACCAATGTATCATGTCAACTGTGGGACGCTCTTGGCACAAGTGATGGGCTACAGGAAAACTCGATGTTATGCATTGGGCTTGGAGGGAGATCAGCTGTAGGTTAAGCTAAGGTTAGTTTGTGTTTACAACATTCTCCAAGAGCCCACAGAGCAGGGTTACCTGAGAAGATTCTTGGGAGGACCTGAAGTATGGAATATGGGATCAATGTGTGTTGATGGAGATTTGGGGGCTTAAATCTGAGTGGACAACTTGTTCTTGTTGTTGTTGTTGTTTTTCTGGTGGCCCAGGCTGGAGTGCAGTGGCACGATCTCAAGTCACTTCAATCTCCCCCTCGTGGGTTCAAGCAATTCTCCTGCCTCAGCCTCCAGAGTAGCTGGGACTACAGGTGCCCGCCACCACACCCGGCTAATTTTTGTATTTTTAGTAGAGATAGGTTTTTGCCATGTCAGCCAAGCTGGTCTCGAACTCCTGACCTCAGGCGATCCACCTGAGCAGACCACTTGTGAATCATGGGAAAGGAGCCCTGTTTGGCCCACTGGTCTGACAGCAGCTCCCTACGGCAGGACTTTAACTCCTACCATCTTAGTCACATGCATGACAGCACAGAGGGCACTCGAGACGCTAACTGCTCCAAACTGACGTCCTAACATGGGTTTTCCTCTTGGTTTTCTGGGGGAATCCATACTCAACCTCAATCTCAGAAAGGCAGAATTGTTAATATCCTTTTAGGATATAAAAAGGCAAACATGTAAATATTATAAGATCTTCACATCCTTAAAATAATGTGCCACAAAACTGGCCAATTCCTTTGTTATGCAAATTTAAGAAAAAAATTAAAACTTCAACTCATGACTGATTCTCTTCTATAAATTACAGTATTGACTGAAATAAATTCTCCATTAGGTTCTTTCAGGCTATACATGAACTCAAGTGGATTTTTTAGAAAATTAATGCTTGCTAATGTAAGTAAAATCACAAATATATGCCAATCTGCACGTTTTTCAAAATATGCTATCTTTCTCTATGAAGTGCTAGTAATTGTGAGAAGATATCAACTAACTTTCTCTCCTTCATCTGGTTAGACACTACTATTTTCTGATTAGTACATAAATGATTACTACCAATACTTAGTGACTAGAACAAGGAAAATATAGAAAGAGCATTTAAGAATTTCATAATTTTTTTTGAGACAGGGTCTGGCTCTGTTGTTGAGGCTGGAGTGCAGTGGCGCGATCTCAGCTCATTGCAATCCCTGCCTCCCGGGCTCAAGCGATCCTCCCACCTCAGTCTCCTGAGTAGCTGACACTAAAGGCACGTGCCACCACACCTGGCTGATTTTTGTGTTTTTTTTTTTTTTTTTTTGTAGAGACGGGGTTTTGCTATGTTGCCCAGTCTGGTCTCAAACTGCTGAGCTCAAGCAATCCACCTGCCTTGGCCTCCCAAAGTGCTGGGATTACAGGCATGGGCCACAGCATCTGGCCTATAACAGAATTTTGGTAATCAGTCATTACCATTCAGAGCCAAAAATATATAAAGTGTACAACTGTGATATGTCTCTACAAAGACAGGGAAAAGTTTGCATCCATAAAGTCAGAAACTCAATTATCTAATCCCCTACATCAACACAAAACACCTTAAGGCAGTCTCAGCCTCTAGGCAGAAGTTTTCCCCTGGAGTACTTGTGGGAAGCAGAACATAAAAAATCAGGGCAAGTCCAGAGGGAGTCATGGGTGGTAAATTCCCATGCCTTTGAAGGGCTGCACCTCTCCATATTCAATTTCTAAAGATGCCTCTTCAGTCCTGGCAAACAGAACAAGGTCTAATCCTTAGAGGAGGGGACAGAAAGCAAATCCAAAGGGCAGGAATTACAAGGCCCCCGCCTGATAAACGCACCTTACTTGCAGAATTGCCTTTCTGGTGAGTGACCCATTTCAGCTCATCTCCTCTCTCACATGCTCCAGCCCGTTACCACTGGGCCCAAAATATCCATATCTGAGACGCTACAGTCGACTGAGCTAATCAGACAGGGGGACAACATCGATAAGTAAACACACACACAGACAGACATACAATCACAGAAAATGAAAAACAGCTAAGGTGAGGGAAGAGCAAAAGGTGAAAGTGCCTAAGTGAATGAACATTGCAAATCATTGAAAGGACTCCAGCCCTGGTTTCAGAACCTACACAAGTAGTAGATAAATTAAAATCCTAGTCACCCAGCGCGAATCATCTAATAGAACCATCTAATCTCATTTAATTCCAACTGATTACTTGTGCAGTTTAAACAGGAGCTAATTTGGCATATAGAGATTTGGGCATAAACTCGAGGATCTCTTGGGCCTATCTGTGATTAAAGAATAAAGTAAAAATACCACAGTATTTTTATCCCTAAACCATATGACAACCAGCACTTTTTGCATTTGAGACTGCTTGCTTTGAATACTAGGTTTGGCCCGGGTGTCCATTACCCTTTCTTGCAAAATCAGCATCTTCATAAGCAATTATTCCACAATATCTTTTGTAAGGACTCCCTGTCTGCACTAATCCCAAGACTTTTTTTTTTTCTTTGAGACAGGGTCTCATTCTATCGCCCAGGCTGGAGTGCAGTGGCATAATCTCGGCTCACTGCAGCCTCAACCTCCCAGGTTCAAGTGATCCTCCCTCCTCAACCTCCCAAGTAGCTGGGATTACAGGCATGCACCACCATGCCTGGCTAAGTTTTGTATTTTTTGTAGAGACAGGGTTTCACTATGTTGGCCAGGCTGGTCTTGAACTCCTGGCCTCAAGTGATCTGCCTGCCTTGGCCTCCCAAAGTGCTGGGATTACAGGTGTGAGCCACCACACCCGGCCTAATCCCAAGTTTACAAAGGAGGACCACTCACTGCCCTTAGAGTCTATGATAGAGGTGATAGATCCTGTAGTCTCTGTCCATGTTAGGGCCAACACAGGGTAGTGTGATTCATTAGTAACCAAAGAAAGCATCTAGCACTTCTTCCCAGGTGATTAAATCAGAATGAGGTTATGAAAGTTTCTTGGAAGATTTATGAGTTCAGCAATAAATTTGTGCCCTTAAACTTTTCAGAATCATGACTCACTTCTTTAAAAATTTTTTCAATTAGCCCATAAATATATCTCAAAAGGCAAAAGCCTAGGGTGGTGGGGAGGGCCGAAGCTATAGAATCAGGAGACCTGACCCATGACTGACCTTCACATTAACTGCATGAGGATCACTAGAATTACAAATGCCAAGCACTGGATGCCTAGATGGCTCTTAATAAACTTCTGGGGTTTTCAGCATCCATTTTCACAGCCCTGAATTCTGTTAATGCTGTCATTTCATTATCAAAGGAGAAATAACTGTTGAAAAACACTTTGCAAATTCTAGCACACAAACGTTCAATAAGATGAATGGAGGACTCTACCAGAAAATATTTTGACCTCATTACTAACACCAAGCAGTGAGCCAAACACACGTGTTGTAATGCATTTTGCATCTAAATTGCTTGCATCTGCAGGTGGCTAAGCTACTGCATCTACACTGTATGTTCCAAGAAAAGTCAGCATGATGTCCCTAGAGTTGCTTAACGTATTTTCACCATTCAACTGACAAGAAGTAGAAAATTGGTCTGCACAGCCAGGATTCTTCAAATCCCTAAAGAAGCACATCTCCTGTGCAGAACTGTTCTCCAACCAGTACCCCAGTGGCAAGGAGGTCTCCAGAGATCCTTTAGACACATGAACTACAAAAACTTCAAATCAAGAAGTCGCATTGGTGGGACACGCCTGTAATCTCAGCACTTTCGGAGGCCGAGGCGAGAGGATTGCTTGAACGCAGGAGTTCCAGACCAGCCTGAGCAACATCCCTACCAAAAATACAAAAATCAGCCAGACATGGTGGTGCACGCCAGTAGTCCCAGCTCCTCAGGAGGCTGAAGTGGGAGGACTGCTTGAGCCCAGGAGGTGGAATTTACAGTGAGCCAAGATTGTACCACTGCACTCCAGTCTGGGCAATAGTGTGAGACCGTCTCTCAAATAAAATTAAAACAACAACAACAACAAAAGCAGCAGCAGCAGAAGCTGCATATTGTAAAACTGAGATCAGCCTAATTTTTTCATGATAGTTTGTCCAACTGCTCAGTAACTCCCAGCTAAATTAGTCCTATGCAAGCATACAGTTGGATTTTTATTTTTTTTATTTCAAATAGTCTTTTTTTTTTTTTTTTTTTTTTTTTGAGACAGAGTTTCATTCTTGTCACCCAGGCTGGAGTGCAATGACATGATCTCGGCTCACTGCAACCTCTGCCTCCCGGGTTCAAGTGATTCTTCCGCCTCAGCCTCCCAAGTAGCTGGGGTTACAGGCACCCACCACCACAACCAGCTCATTTTTTTTTTATTATAAGTTTTAGGGTACATGTGCACAACGTGCAGGTGTGTTACATATGTATACATGTGCCATGATGTTGTGCTGCACCCATTAACTTGTCATTTAGCATTAGGTATATCTCCTAATGCTATCCCTCCCCGCTCCCCACAACATTCCCCGGTGTGTGATGTTCCCCTTCCTGTGTCCATGTGTTCTCATTGTTCAATTCCCACCTATGAGTGAGAAACATGCGGTGTTTGGTTTTTTGTCCTTGAGATAGTTTGCTGAGAATGATGGTTTCCAGCTTCATCCATGTCCCTACAAAGGACATGAACTCATCCTTTTTTATGGCTGCATAGTATTCCATGGTGTATATGTGCCACATTTTCTTAATCCAGTCTATCATTGTTGGACATTTGGGTTGGTTCCAAGTCTTTGCTATTGTGAGTAGGGCCATGATAAACATATGTGTGCATGTGTCTTTATAGCAGCATGATTTATAGTCCTTTGGGTATATATCCAGTAATGGGATTGCTGGGTCAAATGGTATTTCTAGTTCTAGATCCTTGAGGAATCGCCACACTGTCTTCCACAATGGTTGAACTAGTTTACAGTCCCACCAACAGTGTAAAAGTGTTCCTATTTCTCCACATCCTCTCCAGCACCTGTTGTTTCCTGACTTTTTAATGATCACCATTCTAACTGGTGTGAGATGGTATCTCATTGTGGTTTTGATTTGCATTTCTCTGATGGCCAGTGATGATGAGCATTTTTTCATGTGTTTTTTGGCCGCATAAATGTCTTCTTTTGAGAAGTGTCTGTTCATATCCTTCGCCCACTTGTTGATAGGGTTGTTTGTTTTTTTCTTGTAAATTTGTTTGAGTTCATTGTAGATTCTGGATATTAGCCCTTTGTCAGATGAGTAGGTTGCAAAAATTTTCTCTCATTCTGTAGGTTGCCTGTTCACTCTGATGGTGGTTTCTTTTGCTGTGCAGAAGCTCTTTAGTTTAATTAGATCCCATTTGTCAATTTTGGCTTTTGTTGCCATTGCTTTTGGTGTTTTAGACATGAAGTCCTTGCCCATGCCTATGTCCTGAATGGTATTGCCTAGGTTTTCTTCTAGGGTTTTTATGGTTTTAGGTCTAACATTTAAGTCTTTAATCCATGTTGAATTAATTTTTGTATAAGGTGTAAGGAAGGGATCCAGTTTCAGCTTTCTACATATGGCTAGCCAGTTTTCCCAGCACCATTTATTAAATAGGGAATCCTTTCCCCATTGCTTGTTTTTGTCAGGTTTGTCAAAGATCAGATAGTTGTAGATATGCAACATTATTTCTGAGGGCTCTGTTCTGTTCCATTGGTCTATATCTCTGTTTTGGTAACAGTACCATGTTGTTTTGGTTACTGTAGCCTTGTAGTATAGTTTGAAGTCAGGTAGTGTGATGCCTCCAGCTTTGTTCTTTTGGCTTAGGATTGACTTGGCAATGCAGGCTCTTTTTTGGTTCCATATGAACTTGAAAGTAGTTTTTTCCAATTCTGTGAAGAAAGTCATTGGTAGCTTGATGGGGATATAAATTACCTTGGGCAGTATGGCCATTTTCACAATATTGATTCTTCCTATCCATGAGATGGAGTCTCGCTCTGTCGCCCAGGCTGGGGTGCAGTGGTGCCATCTTGGCTCATTGCAAGCTCCGCCTCCCGGGTTCACGCCATTCTCCTGCCTCAGCCTCCTGAGCAGCTGGGACTACAGGTGCCCACCACCGCGCCCGGCTAATTTATTTTTGTATTTTTAGTAGAGACAGGGTTTCACCATGTTAGCCAGGATGGTCTCGATCTCCTGACCTCATGATCCGCCCATCTTGGCCTCCCAAAGTGCTAGGATTACAGGCGTGAGCCACTGCGCCCGGCCATTTTTGTGTTTTTAGTAGAGATGGGATTGCATCATGTCAGCCAGGCTGGTCTCGAACTCCCAACCTCAGGTGATCCACCCACCTCGGCCTCCCAAAGTGCTGGGATTATAAGCGTGAGCCACTGTGACCGGCCCTACTTCAACTAGTCTCGCATCTAAAATGGTTCATAGTTACAAAGCAAAATACTCGTTTTTTTCCACTAGCTCAATTGATCTGATTTCCACATCCTTACAGGAAAAAAAAGACTGATCATTGTGATTGAATCCTAGGTAACTATCAAAGGAGTCAGAGAATCAAGATGAAGATAAAGAAAGGGTTTTTATCAAGCTGTTACCAACACTTCTTACAAAACACGAATAACTCTCCCTTGCTTAACCTCAGAGAGAAGGCAGGTGCCCCCCTCTCTGTCACATCCAGTGCTATATTCACAGCTACAAGCTCTGGCCAGGCACATTACAGCCCCAGTGAATGAATGAATATCCTCCCCTCCGCAGGGGGGCATCCTTAGAATTAAAGAGATAAGGTGGGATCCAAAATAGGTGTAGCCTTGTAGCAGTGTGCACTGAAATTGAGTAAGTCTAACATTTAAGTCTTTAATCCATGTTGAATTAATTTTTGTATAAGGTGTAAGGAAGGGATCCAGTTTCAGCTTTCTACATATGTACATAGAGTAGGTGTCACACCCTCTAACTGTGTCGGGCAGGGCCACACACTGAGGGCCCAAGCAGAAACTGTAAATGAGGGAAGGGGGCTGGGAGGGGAGACAACAGGGAGGGGTGGGAACTTGCTTAACCAGAGGATACACACCCATTTTGAAGCACTAAAATGATCAATATTAAACACTGCGCAGGTCAGAACAAACAAGGTCTGTGCCCTGTCTGTCGTCTGTTGATGTCAAGTTTGTGACTCCTGGTCTGTTATATCAGATAACCAGTCAATGAAATTAGGAAAAATTCTACTGCAGCTGGACAGAGCCGTACTTGTTTAAGGCCTTGGCAATAAAAACGGTTAGATGCTGTGCCCCGACCTGTCCTCTCCCTGTAGACCTAAGAAGGGGGATCCACCACGACAGAGGGGCGATGAGAAGGCCGAAAGCAGGAGCACACGCTCTCTGTGGGCAACCGCTCAACCTGGCTTTCTAAAGAGACAACCAAGAGCTTCCGATAAAATGCCATAGTCAGGGTACATGGAGTCCAGAAGACCAGGCCAGCAGCCTCTGTGACCGTGCATCACCGTGGAACCAGAGGGAACTTTCAGAAAGCAGTCAGCCTCCAAAAACATTTAAGACCCACCTCTGAGAAAAAGACACAGCAAGATAGAAGGAAGAGCCAGGATGAAGAGACGGTGGGACTACAATAAGGGAATATTTCATAAACTAACAGAGCCAAAGCAGAATGAACTGTTTCATCAGCAGAAAAGAGCAGAAATGGCAGGCTAGAAAGTTGAATCTGTGAGGCTGACTTGGCAGAGACACTTGCCAGAATGTGAAAGAGAAAGAAAAAGACATTAAATGTTGAGGGAGAAGATTATCATCATCATCATCATTATTATTATTATTATTATTATTATTATTATTATTTTGAGACACAGTCTCACTATGTTGCCCAGGGTGGACTGCGGTGGTGCGATCTCGGCTCATTGCAACCTCCAACTCTCAGGTTCCAGCGATTCTCCTGCCTCAGCCTCCGGAGTAGCTGGGATTACAGGCATGTGCCACCACATCCAACTAATTTTTGTATTTTTAGTAGAGACAGGGTTTCACCATGTTGGCCAAGCTGGACTTGAATTCCTGACCTCAAGTGATCCGCCCAGCTCGGCCTCCCAAAGTGCTGGGATAACAGGTGTGAGCCACCACGCCCGGCCCGAGGAAGAAGATTATTAATACAAAGAGAAAAGGAAGCCAACTTATGCCTTCAAAGCTGTTCCTGGCGGGGCGTGGTGGCTCACACCTTTAATCCCAGCACTTTGGGAGGCTGAGGCAGTGGATCACGAGGTCAGAAGATTGGGACCATCCTGGCTAACATGGTGAAACCCCGTCTCTACTAAAAATACAAAAAATTAGGGGGGCATGGTGGCCAGCGCCTGTAGTCCCAGCTACTCGGGAGCCTGAGACAGGAGAATGGCGTGAACCTGGGAGGTGGAGCTGGCAGTGAGCCGAGATCGCCCCACTGCACTCTAGCCTGGGCAACAGAGCAAGACTCCGTCTCAAAAAAAAAAAAAAAAATGCTATTCCCAAAGAAGCTGTGTAAGTGGCATGAAAGCATCTTGAGAACAATCAGACTTGACTGAGGAAAGCATGACTGAGTTAAACCGAAATAAAAACCCAGGAGACCCAAGAGGGAGCAGCTCAAAAGAACGGCCCTTAATCCACAAAAACATCATTCCCAGACACATATTAGAAACTGTTTTTAATAAAAAGGATACAGAAAAAAAAAATAACTGGGCATGGTGGCTCACACCTGCAATCCTAGCACTTCGAGAGGCCAAGGCAGGAGGGTCACTTGAAGCTAGGAGTTCAAGACCAGCCTGGATAACATAGTAAGACCTTGTCTTAAAACATATCTATATCAGCCAGATGTGGTGGTGCGTACTTGGAGTCCCAGCTATTTGGGAGGCTGAGGCAGGAAGGTCTCTTGAACCCAGGCGTTGGAGGCTGCAGTGAGCTATGATCACACCCTGTACTCTAGCCTGGGTGACGGAGTGACACCCTGTCTCTAAAAAAACTAACTAGGTGAGGTGAGGTGGCTCACGCCTGAAATTCCAGCAGTTTGAGAGGCCGAGACGGGCAGATCACTTGAGGCCAGGAGTTTGAGACCAGCCTGACCAACAAGGTGAAACCCCTATCTCTACAAAAAAATACAAAAAATTAGCTGGGTGTGGTAACACACACCTGTAATCTCAGCTACTAGGGAAACTGAGGCAGGAGACTCACTTGAACCCAGGAGGCGGAGGTTGCAGTGAGCTGATATCGTGCCACTGCACTCCAGCCTGGGCGACAGAGTGAGACTCAGTCTCAAAAAAAAAATTAAATTAAAAAAATTAAAAACCAACTAAATAAAAAGTTTTAAAAGAGAATAAGGCTGCAGTCTCTGCCAAAAAAAAAAAAAAGAAACAAAAAAACCAGTATGTTTCTTCTACATAAAAATCAGGAGATAAACAATGAAATAAAAATAAAACTAGCATCAGCTGTCTCCATAATGTTAAATTCCAAAAGGCAACATGGCTGCATTTACTGAGTAAACAGTGGCAACCCAGGACTTAAAACCCAGTGAAATCATTCCTCATGAAGGAAGACCACGGAAAGCAACTCTCAAATACGCAATGACGTGGAAAATACACCACTCACAGTCCTCTCCTGGGGAAAAACTTTTTTTTTGAGACAGTCTTGCTCTGTCGCCCAGGCTGGAGTGCAGTAGTGCAATCTCGGCTCACTGCAACCTCCGCCTCCCGGGTTCAAGCAATTCTCCTGCCTCAACCTCCCAAGTAGCTGGGATTACAGGTACACACGACCATGCCCACCTAATTTTTTGTATTTTAGTAGAGACAGGGTTTCACTGTGTTGCCCAGGCTGGTCATGAACTCCTGAGCTTAGGCAATCTGCCCACCTCGGCCTCCCAAAGTGCTGGGATTACAGGTGTGAGGAAAAACTTCTTAAGGAGGCAATTCAAGTGATTGAAAAATGAATCAAAATAAAGAACTTGCAAACTGGGAAATCATGGTCTCCAAAGACTAGCAATGAGCACTTGAATCAGTTATAAAATGCAAAGTTGGTTTAAAATATTGTTGTAAATATAATCAGAAAACACTGAAGGTAACAAAAATAATTATGGAAAGAGATGCTGTATAACATATAGATAATAATTATAAAAATATAGAGGTTTCAAAATGATTGGCTAAATAATTTAAATAATTATCTTTTTTTTTTTTTTTAGACTGAGTCTCGCTGTCAGCTCACTGCAACCTCCGCCTCCCAGGTTCCAGAGATTCTCCTGCCTCAGCCTCCTCCAGAGTAGCTGGGATTACAGGGGTGCGCCATCATGCCCGGCTAATTTTTGTATTTTCAGTAGAGATGGGATTTCACCATGTTGGCCAGGCTGGTCTTCAACTCCTGACCTCAAGTGATCTACCCGCCTCAGCCTCCCAAAGTGATGGGATTACAGGCATGAGCCACCGATAAAATTATCTATAAACCATTCTTGGTGTGAACCCTGGATGCTAAACTGTCTTGGCTACCATGCAAAATGCCAACCCAGAAAAACTCTCTTGGGGCTCCCCTCCCTTACAGGGTGACAGGTTTCAGCTGAACTACGTAAGGTGACAACAGAGAATATTAACAAAAGACAATGCGCAGAAAGCTCACCGGTTCTCAAAAAGGTTTTAAAGGCAGGACTTTCCCTAACTAATCAAGTGCTGACTACAGAATACAGTTCAGTTTCAACAAGAAGAATGACACACACACTATTGTCAAAGCATTCCCTTTAGTAAAACACACACACTATTGTCAAAACATTCCCTTTAGTAAACACAAAAGAAACTTTTTTTTTCTAAAAAGTACTCCATAGGCCGGGCGCCGTGGCTCACGCCTGTAATCTCAGCACTTTGGGAGGCTGAGGCGGGCGGAACACTAGATCAGGAGATCAAGACCATCCTGGCTAACAAGGTGAAACCCTGTCTCTACTAAAAATACAAAAAAAATTAGCCGGGCTTGGTGGTGGGCGCCTGTAGTCCCAGCTATTTGGGAGGCTGAGGCAGGAGAATGGCGTGAACCCAGGAGGCGGAGCTTGCAGTGAGCCGAGATCATGCCACTGCACTCCAGCCTGGGCGACAGAGCGAGACTCAGTCTCAAAAAAAAAAAAATACTCTGTACATTTCTTTTTTTTCTTTTTTTTGAGATTGAGTCTGTCGCCTAGCTTGGAGGGCATTGGTGTGATCTCCGCTCATTGCAACCTTCGCCCCCCGGTTCCAGCGATTCTTGTACCTCAGCCTCCCAAGTAGCTGGGATTACAGGCGCCTGCCACTGTGCCCGGCCTAATTTTTGTATTTTCAGTAGATATGGGGTTTCACCATGTTGGCCAGGCTGGTCTTGAACTCCTGACGTCAAGTGATCCACCCGCCTCAGCCTCCCAAAGTGCTGGGATTACAGGCATGAGCCACCATGCCCGGCCAGCAATGTTAAAAGTAGGATTTAGAGGGAAAAAAAGAAATAAGGTTTTGAAACAGGAAAGAGTCAGTAGACAAATATCATCTTAACCTTGGCACCAGGCTAAAATCTTTCCTTGCCAACTCTCCTGTATCACACTTGGCATTCAATTTCTTTTCAATCTTTTACAGAGTTAGCAGAGTTAGACCTTTTACTCACTTGAAGGGTAGATATATTTTCAAGAGTGAGAGTGAATTATCCCATTCTCATACACTAGTTATTTGCCTTTGTGAATATAAAATGATAATTCAATATTTTATCAAAACATGGGATTATAAAAGTACTGGGAAAACCAGTCTGAAATTTAAAAGATTACATTTTCTAAAATCTGGGAAGTTTACTTTAGGCAGAAACATAATTAGAATAGAACTTCCTTTGAAATGTCACTTCATTTTCAATAAAAATTCTTTCATGCAATGCAGAAAATACAATGCATCATCCTGTAACAATATCTTTACATCTTAAGTCCTTATCTGAAATGCTGAATGACAACAACAACAACAACAAAAAACCTTTTTAAGTTGTTTCAGAGACGAGGTCTCACTATGTTGGCCAGGCTGGCCTCAAACTCCTGGGCTTATGTGATCCTCCCGCTTGGGCATTCCATGAGTAACTGGGACCACAGGCATACACACCACATCCATGACCTCGTGGATGACCACATCCAGCTCACCTCCCTTTTGATAAATTCCAAGATCTTATTTTAACCACTACTGCTCTGCAGCAATAACTCAAGACCCAACCTGAGAACTAAGGACATAATAATAAAATGCCAAGGTCTGGATCAATTTTTCAACCGAACACACTTAAGCAGCTCTTTGTTGGCATCAGGTGTGGTACAAGAGACAAATTTGAGCAATTCAGGAAAGTACCCTGAAATCAACAGTATCACCTGCTGCAACTTGAAACCTTCTGTTCTAATGATGGTATATAAGCTCCGTTGCACCTTTATCATTGTTAAAATACTTGCAACTTACAGAATTCTCTGTACAAACCAATTTGGTTCTAAAGCACCTGACTGGCAGCAAAATGTTCCTAACGAAACAGGCAGTGTGTCCACAGATACCTGAAGCTGAAGAATCATTGATTTGTTGTCACAGCAATTACAAAGCATGACAAGAAGATCACAGTTTGAAGGAAACAAGTCTGAACAAGAGTAATTCCTCAGCAATCTTAAGGGAGAAGACCAGGTTTCTTTTAGATGTGGAATTAGTTATGACACAGTATATTCGTTTTAATAGAAAAAATTAATGCAAACATAAATCATCAAGGTTAATCTTATTTTTTTGATGAAGCTAAAACAAACATACAAAGCATAGTCTCCTCCTTGATATTTCAACATAATTGTTACCATCTGCCATTTCACTGCAGAAAGTGTCAATACATTCCCCGGGAAGAAACATCAGTGGAAAACAAGGATGTTTCTGCTTTTAACTTCTTTGTTTCTCCTCCCAAGTCACCCTCTTCTGATCGGCCCCTGCTGAGGACAACAGGAGCCCCTTCACTACTGAAAACAACTTTCCTTGGTTCTTCTAAGTCCTTTCCAGTGTGCCTTTGATTACTGGGCTCTTTCTGTTCCTTCGGTTCTCGGATGCCCCGTGATCCAGTTCAGCATGCCAAGCGACCTGTCTGGCCAGTCCTCAGAATCACTTTTCACCTTTCTCTTTTATCCCCTGTAACCAAGGTCCATCCTCCCCTTTTCCTGTCTCTCCCATTCTCCATCACTATTGCCACCAGCCTCCTCCCTCGGTGCCTCTCATTCACTGCAGCAACTCTCAGATTGCTCTTTTACCTTTACCTTCCGCTCTCCTGATCTTGCCCTGCAAAACCAGGCAGACTTTCGGCATGGTGTTCGCTTGGCAAAGAGCACATGCTCAGGCTCCAGCTCCTACTGTCTTGGAGGCAAGCTCTTCTAAGTGGCTTTTAAGACTCTGCCGGCCGGGCGCAGTGGCTCATGCTTGTAATCCCAGCCCTTTGGGAAGCCCAGGCAGGTGGATCACCTGAGGTCAGGAATTCGAGGCCAGCCTGGCCAACATGGTGAAACCCCGTCTCTGCTAAAAATATAAAAATTAGCCAGGCGTGGCAGCAGGTGCCTGCAATCCCAGCTACTTGGGAGGCTGAGGCAGGAGAATCGCTTGAACCTGGAGGCAGAGGTTGCAGTGAGCCGAGATCACACCACTGCACTCCAGCCTGGGTGACAAGAGTGAAACTCTGTCTCAAAATAAATAAATAAATAAAAGACTCTGCCCTCCCAGGACAAGGCTCCTAGCAGGCGGGAGAGGACTGGAGATTCAGAAGGAGGCCTGGGGGCCGGGGGGACCTGGGTTGCCATCTTCACTCTGTTCTTACTGATATGACATGGACAAACCATCTTGTGTCTCTAATCCTCCACTTTCTCAACTGTAAAATGAGGATGAAAGTAGTAGCTACCCCACACGATTGTTTTATGCTTTTAATAAAACATTAAAAGACTATTCCAACCATGGATGTTCTGGAAGTCGTCTTGAGCCACTCAGCCTGCCTCATCTCTCCCTCTCTGAGCTCCCAGGGCCCTTAGCAACTTGGCACTCAGTTCTCTAAGAGAAAACCTTCCCTGAAGACAGAAACTTTATCTTAAATGTCTTCTGGAACCTCTCAACACAAGATCAGGGCCAACACCTGCCACAGGCCTCTTGTTCTGCAGCAACCTGCGAGTTGGTTGGTTGGTTTTGGTCATTGCTACCCTAGCACTTCCCCTTTCTTGATTTTAAAAACCAATTTTCCTCATCTTGTTCCTGTCACAGATCCACTTTTTCTTGAGAAATGAGCCTGAAGCGAAGGAAGAAGCAGGGGAGACAATGATCGGGGTCAAAAACCTTTTCTAGGTCCCCAGATGTGCGACAGTTATGAATGTCAAAGATTCTAAAGTTTTACAAAGTCTCATCTTTCTTTTGGTCCTAAAGAGGAGGAGGACAGCCCAGACTGGATAAAGCTGGAGAGAGGACAGAGGGCTGCGGGGACAGGGAGCAAGGCGAGGGGAAAGAAAATGCACATCACCACAAACTACTTGGCTCTCTCCCCTCCCGACTTCTCCTGTTAATGCACTCATAGTAATGCAATGACCTTAAGTATTTTGAAAACCAACCTCATTTCAAAATAAGGAAGCTGGGGTTTTAGAAGTCGTATTTCATGTACTTAGAGGGTAAAGTTACAGTGCCTGGGACACAAGACTCACTAGGGCAGAGATTTCAACACTGTCAGCTTCCTGGGAGATTGCCTCAGACCTTGTCCTCTTGTTTTGATTTTTCGTTTACAGTTCATTGGTAGAAGAAGAAAAAATGCTGAGAAATGTAACACCCTGCCCAGCAATGTTTATTATTAGACTTCAAATATATATGGTTGGTTGAAATGGGGAAGAAGATACTGAGACCTTTCTAGAGATGATTTGGAATTGCTCTCTATGCCGCCAGGGCAGCTCACAGTAATTATTTTTTGCTCTCAAGCAAGGAAAAGCCTGAAGGACAATGGCTTCAGCAAACCAAAGAAACATGAGATGAGAAGGCGAATTCGGCCACCGTCCGTGCGACTTGGCACGCTGTGAGCGAAATGGACGGAATGCAGTTCAAGAGCAAAGAAATCAGGTTGAACCACTTCACCTCTCTGGCTAGATGACTGAAATACAGTAAGCCTTGCAAAGGGACAGGACACTTAAGTAAATGAATGCCAGGGCGTGCGTTAAACACAGCCCTCCGGATTTAGGGGGAAGAAACCCCAGCCACAATGCCCACACTGTGTAAGTGCCTCCCACAGTCTTTGTCCCTGGGGCACTCACACATCTGTGGCAATATTTAGAAGTTGTTTTCAAATCTCAGGGTCTCTGATGACTCCCATTCACACCAGCCTAGTATTCCTTCCCTTCTCCGAAGTTCTGTGATGTCCTTGTGCACCGTCTCCCCCAGCAGACGGAGTCACCCCTCTAGTGTTTTCACGGAGCTCATGGCCAGTTCATTCTTGCTTTGAACAGCAGGAGTCTAAGCCAAGTTGGCTCTTTATCGTTTTCAGAATGGGGAACGCAAAAACACCAATTCCATGTTAAAACTGGTATTAAAACCCCCTAAACACCAATTGATAACTATAAACGTAGATTCAGTCTGTCACTAAAGGGAAGCATGTCCATTTCTTTAGCTGAGTATTAAAGACAGGTCAGCTTCAAAAACGCAGTATTTAAAGCCTCAGATGATTACTCCAATATTCCCTAGATTATAATTTACTCCACTGGTACTGAAGGAGATAAATTAAGTGCTAAGAAAATGACAGCACTTAGTTAAGAGACCCAAATGAATCTGAACTCCTGGGTTAGCCCATCCTTCGACTTAACAAACTTTTGTTGTTTAAACAGGTTCTCACTCTGTTGCCCAGGCTGGAGTGCAGTGGTACAATCACAGCTCCCAGGTTCAAATGATCCTCTCATCTCAGCCTCCTGAGTAGCTGGGACTACAGGCATGCACCACCACACTTGGCTAATTTTTGTATTTTTTTGTAGAGATGGGGTCTCACTACGTTGCCCAGGCTGGACTCAAACTCCTGGGCTCCAGCAATCCACCCACCTTGGCCTCCCAAAATGCTAGGATTACGGTCATGAGCCACCACACTTGGCCCAAACTTCTGTAAATGAAAAAAATGTTGCTACATAAAATTTATTTTTGGATGAAGATAACTTCCAAGGCTAGAAAGGTAGCTCCCTATCAGGCACTCGGTACACATTTACTGGCTGAAGGTGAGGAGTGAGTGCTCTCTTTATGAGCGGTTTGTAAAGAGGCCTCCTCCGAGACCTGAATCAGTGGGAGGGATCCAACCACCGGCCATGCTTACCTGTCCTCGAAGCACACCGTGCACTTCCAGGCATGGGTCCCCCTCAGGAACACTCGGCACTGGGCACACACGCGGTGGCTGCAGCCCCGGCACACGGCGCCCCGGTGCAGCAGGAACCCCAGCACCTGCTGGCAGCGCGCACAGCACTTCTCTTTGTGCTCCCAGTCCGTGTTCTTCGCTCCTTTCCACCGGAGATGCTGCAGGTGTGTTTTCAGTTTCCTGCAGCCCTCAGAGTTAAAGAAGATAGTATTAGATGGAACACCTGACCCCAGGCTATAGGGCAAGAGCCCAGGCAGTAACCCCCATGGCAAGGGAAGGGGCTTTGGCATTCGACATCCCTGGACTCCAACATGGCTGTGTGAACTGGGCTCTCACTCAACATCTCAGAGTCGAGTCTCAAGGGTTTTTTCAACCGTGAAACAGGTGATATGACCTTACCTCCCAGGGTTGCTGTGAGGACTAAATGGCAAAGTATAAATAACATGCCTGGGGCAGAGAAGCTCCCTGCTAGGTCCATCCCTTCCTGCCCAAAGGCTGTTATGATAGTAAGCAAGAATAGTGAAAGGAGAGGAAAAGACACTGAAAGGAGCATCCATTCTAATCTGCAAGGCATGGAATAATCTAGAAACACACAGCATACATCCTGCTATGGGTATAAGTTGCCCAATAAAATCAACTGATGCTATGCTTTTGCTACATTTTTTTTTTAATAAGTGGTCAGCCCACTCCCCTAGACAAATAGCCATAGTGCAAAGAGATACTGTATTGGACCAAAAAGGTGTCATTTACTAGCACGCTCTTTTATGAATGTCTGTGATACCTACTTGTAGAAAAGATGAGCCAATCCCAAGAAACAAGATGACATCAGAAATGCACTTTAAAATTCAACTTTCAGGATCTACCCTAGAATTAGTACCCTTTGAAATACAACTTTGTTATCACTATGTCTATGTCACTTTGTTAATATTCAAAAGGATGTCTCAAATCACTGAAAGATCTTTCATCATCAAATAAAATTTCACTTTTCTCACTGTATTATAGTTTTTGTTTTCGTTTTTTTGTTGTTGGTTTGAGACAGAGGCTTGCTCTATTGCCCAGGCTGGAGTGCAGTGGCGCGATCTCAGCTCACTGCAAACTCCACCTCCCAGGTTCAAGGGATTCTCCTGTCTCAACCTCCTGAGTAGCTGGGATTACAGGCACCTGCCACCGCCCGGCTAATTTTTGTATTTTTAGTAGAGACAGGGTTTCACTATGTTGGCCAGGCTGGTCTCAAACTCCTGACCTCAGGTGATCCGCCCGCCTCAACCTCCCAAAGTGCTGGGATGACAGGCGTGAGCCACCACGCCCAGACTGTATTATAGTTTTTAATGGAAGAAAGTTTACAAGTGCACTTAGAAAGCTTTGAAATAACAGGGAGGATGAAGAATACTATACCAGAAAATTCTCCTCACTCCTCAAGCATTTGGTTGTCCAAAGTTTTGTTTTCTAATGTGTTCTGCCATTAGAAACCAAACCCTCACTTCCTCCATAGACATTGATAAACAAGCGCCAACCTGTTTAAAGATGGATCTTGACAGCTAAGGCGGAACACTGCTCTGCTAGAGTTCAGCACGCTTTTCTAAATGCTGACCCATATCAAACGGCCCGTGCAGCTTAGAGACAGACAGGGAAGAGTTCCCTGTTGGCAAAGCGGTCAGGAAACAGGCTAAGCAGGTTCATATTTTATGCTCCCCCTTCCTCAAAGCCAGCTGGGAAGCAAAAGCGAGCAAAGAAAAAAAGACAGGGCTGGATTCCATCAGAGTTGCTGCTTGTGAGCCTCTTTCTTTGCTTTTCTTTACACCTCCCGGCACCGTCAAAAATGAGGTAGGAAAACCCTTAACTGGAGGTCTTTCCTTAAAGAAGGGGTAAACTGGAAGCCTGAAAATGTCCCTTGAATGATTCCCACGAAGTCGGCAAACAGACAAGCAGATGGCAGACAGCAAACTTACCGCCCAAAGGCACCGTTTTAAATGAATAACAAGAGCGGCCTCCCTCCTCCTCCTGAGCGTCCTCTACGTTTAGTTACATAAGGAGGATCATCTCCACCAACAGACCTTCGTTAGGACCCTTCTCAGGCACGAAGCCCAGCAGCAGGTGGGTAGTGATTTGTAAGCAAACAGCATTGGCGACGGAGTGGCAGGCCCCAAGCAGAGAAAGCTAAACACCCAAAGTGACCCCCCGGGAAGGGCAGCCTACCGTGTCCTCTCCTCCTCTGTGTTTTGAACCGCCTGGTCTCGGTACAGGACCTGGAGAATGGCCTCGCGTTCTAACTCCTTGAGAGCACTCAGATCTATTTCTTGGGCCATTTCTTCTCCGTTTTCGTTGACCCAGGTTGGAAGAGCTTCACTGCATGGACCAAGCGCTCACGCCCTGCAGATGAGCGGCGGAGGCCAGCTGCAGCCAGCCTTGTTTAAAGAGCTCCCTCTCCTATTTCACTGGCAACTGTTTTGCTTGTGGTTCTTTTTTCCTTTTTAACTGTGTCATACTCCTTAGAAGAAGAAAGCCTCAAGAAGTTCTGCGTTTGTCGGAGTTACGGCTCGCAGAGCCTCGTGCTACCCGGGGGGTGTTTTCACCGGGTTCTGCAGCAGCTGCTGACATCCATCTAAGACAAAAGCATATCTCTTTTCTGAGGTTTCACCAGAGATTGTTATAAATTATCCACAGCTGCAAGCAGATAATTTCTGCAAAGCAGAAGTAATTTTCAAGCCAAGGAAATTTAGAAATAGCAATAAAAAGAGTATCAGTGACTCATAGAAGCTAACCTTCCATTTAAGATGTTTCCAGGTCAGCAGGAACCATCATGAAAAGCTCAGCCCGTTCAATACCTGCAGAAAAGAAAACAAAAAATGGCAACATTTTTCTTGGCTTAAGTATCTCTGCAGCATTACTTCCAAAAAGACAAAATATTCTACACAAACCCTTGCATTTTCTGCTCGCGGTGATAATGTAAAATTTTAAATTTGCTTAAATAACACTTCTCATATTTCTAAAAGCCTCAAACTTCCAAACTTGAATTTTCCTAATATGGATTCCATAACTTTAGTGGTCAGAGGACGTAAAAGTCTGTGTTTAATGTACATTACCCTAATTGAAGAAATACTGGAAAAATGACATTCCCAACTGTTGGCTATTATTTTTACCATTAACTTCAACACTCAAAAAATGTTTAATCAATTAAGGATGTATGAAGCAGCACCACCACAAGCTCAGCCTATCAATTATTTACAGTCTTGAATAAGTTTCATGAGCTGCCTTATGCATTAGCTCTTGTTTTTGTTTAATGACAGCTGAAAGGTTCTGCATACATCCTTTTATCCAGAAAATGCAGAAGATCAAATCAATATACTTCCTATAGTACCATTTTTGTTATTAAATCTATGGGAATCCCTTAGTGATAAGACGTCCTTTCAATGCTTTAAAAGCTAAACTTCCTTTGCTAGGCTTCAAAAAAAATCTGCATTATATTAATTTATGATCCATGGCAAATTAGTGAATGAGAGGCTAACAGAGCTCTAAGGTAGCATTTCCTTTAAGCAAAGGTTCTTAACCTTTTTCTTAATCTTTGGTAGTCTGGTGAAGCCTACGTATTTAAACGCATAAAATAAGGTATGCTGTGTTACATAGGAAGAAATTGATTATACTGAAATATTTAAAAATTGTAATATAGTAATATATGTGTTCCTTGATGCATGAAATATTAAGATCTAGCAGTGATCTAAGGACTCCCAGAATTTCAAAGTAGTGATGAATAGAAACAATGTCTTGAGATAGCTACAACATATCATGTGGTATGAAAATATCTGTGATTTCTGTTGGTGACAAAGTCACAAGTTCTGCTGATTCTACTGTGGTTTCTTGCCTATATCCATATTTTAAGAAAATGCTAAATTTGAGTTAAAGGTTAATAAAAATAAAGATTTAATTTTTTCTCCAAGTTCATGGGCCTACAGGCCAAGATTGCTCAGTTCAGGAATTCAATATTTGTCAGTTTCCCTATTGTAAAATAAAATTAAAATATATTATTCATCCCAACTGCAGAGGTTGCATGAGGAACAGAAAACCCAGAGCTCTGAAAAGGGATGTTCTCGGCTTCTAGTCTCTGACAAAGCACCCACAAGACCTGTTCTCCAAAGGCCTCCTCTCTAGATGAAGGGAAAATCACAAAGCAACAAGGACTTTAGGTTCTTACCTGGCTGGGCTGGTACCTGACTATGCCAGCAGGGGCAACGCCTCTTCCCTCCTTAGATCCAGGTTCCAGATGAACAGGCAGAACTGGCATCCCTCAGTGCCCCAAGGCTCTGAGTCTCTGGAAAAGAGGAAAGTAATAGAAAACTGTGTGTGACCAAGTGCCAAGTGGCAAGGTGCAAATTAGCCATCAAGTCACCAACTGCACGAGCCCATTCTTCTCAACTTGCCCCTCAGTTCTTCATGCTGTCTTCTTATTTCCACTCTACTAATCGTACTACTGGGTCCAGAGCCATCTGGTTTGTCTAATTCTTGAGTTTTCATTTATTTATTTTGAGACAGGACCTCATTCTGTCACCCAGGCTGGAGTGCAGTGGCACCATCATGGCTCACTGCAGCCTTGGCCTCCCAGGCTCAAGCAATCCTTTAGCCTCCGCCTCCCGAGTAGCTGGGACTACAGGTGCGGGCTACCATGCCTAGCTAATGTTTTAATTTTGTAGAGATGGGTTTCACCATGTTGCGCAGGCTGGTCTGGGCTCAAGCAGTCCTCCTGTCTCAGCCTCCCAAAGTGCTAGGTTTACAGGTGTAAGCCACTGCACCTGGCTCTCGAGTGTTTTTAGTGAAGAGTTTTTGCACCTGGCTGCAAACACTTGCTCTGTGCACTGTGCTTTCTTTTCATGTGGCTGTTTGTGCTCCGTTCTCTGGCTCTGGTCTCCAGTACTCCAGGTAAGCAGGACCACATAGCTGCAGTATTGGCTGGTAATGACACCACTCAGTGAATCTGGTGGGGGAATCTGAAATACTCAACCGCTCGCTCATACAGGTGGCTATTAGGTCTTAACGCACTTCAGAAATACAGGGTTCAATGATCATTACAAAGCACTACACTTACTTTCCCAAACCCCCGCCTGTGGGCCCCAGGTGCAAGTGTGGGAAACGCCCTTTCGAAGGCTAAGAGGGAGCTCACGCTCCCCCTAGTGCCCATTCACTCCGCGTTACAGAAAAATGAAATTCAGTTCATTTCCTGGATCCATTCATCCAGTCATTCAGTAAATATTTATTGAACACCCCAGGCGCTGTTCCGGGTTTTTTTGTTTTTTGTTTTTTGTTGTTGTTGTTGTTTTTGAGACGGAGTATTGCTCTGTTGTCCAGGCTGGAGTGCAGTGGTGCGATCTCGGCTCACTGCAACCTCCGCCTCCTGGGTTCAAGCAATTCTCCTGCTTCAGCCTTCCGAGTAGCTGGGATTACAGGTGCCCGCCACCACGCCCGGCTAATTTTTGTATTTTTAGTAGAGACGGGGTTTCACCATGTTGGTCAGGCTGGTCTCGAACTCCTGACCTCAGGCCCTCGGCGTCCCAAAGTGTTGGGATTATAGGCATGGACCACCACGCCCGGCCTGTTCAAGGTTCTTAAGGTTCATGACTTGACTGACTGGTCATTTATACCCTATTCTACATCTAACAAAAATATGATGCAGCTTACAATAAAAGCTTATAGAAGACAGCTAAAATAAAGTCAGAGAGACATCAGCAGCCAGTGAAAAAGGACTGATAATTCTACTAAGAACAGGAAGTAAAACAGTGACCACTTCAACCTTAAATGTATTTCTGACCTTCCTGGTAGCCAAGGCAAAGCAAAACAAAACGAAATGAAAAGTCAAGATGCTGTCTATAGCTTTAATACACTGAAAGAAATACAGAAAGACATCCTCAAAATGCAAACGACTAAGACAATTGCCCAGGTGCAGTGGCTCACGCTTGTAATCCCAGCACTCTGGGAGGCCGAGGCGGGCGGATCAACTGAGGTCAGGAGTTGGAGACCAGCCTGACCAACATGGTGAAACCCTGTCTCTACTAAAAATACAAAATTAGCCAGGATTGGTGGGACATGCCTGTAATCTCAGCTACTCGGGAGGCTGAGGCAGGGGAATCACTTGAACCCGGGAGGCAGAGGTTGCAGTGAGCCAAGATCGCACCATCGCACTCCAGCCTGGGCAACAAGAGTGAAACTCCGTCTCAAGAAGAAAAAAAAGAAAAGACTAAGACGATCAACTCCCTAGACAGACAGCTCCTTCTGGCTTGGCAGAAGATGTGCAAAACTGTACTTTCTGTATCACTATATTGACCTCAAATTAAAGCCAAGGATATAACACTACATTGTAATTCACTGGAAGTATTTCAAATACAGACCAAAGCAGGAAACCTTCTGGTGTTCCCAGTTGCCTGGGACTGAGCTTAGAGAACTCGAGGTATGTGTATTCCGCATTCATCCCATCATTGTTACTCTTCACTTTTAGAGACTTTGATCCTAGTTTCTCTAAACCTTGATTCTAGCTTCTATAAACCATGTCACTCAAGCACTTGGTTAGCACTTAGAACAACAATCAACCAACCCTATGGTTTAGCAACTACTATGAGTAAAGCCTTCTATTGATAAGATTGAGACATACCCTCTTTTTTTGAGATGGAGTTTCGCTCTTGTCACCCAAGCTGGAGTGCAATGGCATGATCTCTGCTCACTGCAACGTCCGCCTCCCAGGTTCAAGTGATTCTCCTGCCTCAGCCTCCCGAGTAGTAGCGACTACAGGCGTGTGCCTCCATGCCTGGCTAATTTTTTTTTGTATTTTTAGTACAGACAGGGTTTCACCATGTTGGCCAGGCTGGTCTCAAACTCCTGACTTCAGGTGATCCTCCCACCTCGACCTCCCAAAGTGCTGGGATTATAGGCGTGAGCTACCGCGCCTGGCCGACGTACTCTTCTGTTTAACTTTGGAAGGTCCACTCCAAAGAAGGGGTAACTTTTTGCAACGATCCAAGAGGTATAGCATAGAGCATCATCCTATGGTAGCATCAAGATTGACCAGAAAGCTATGAAGGTCATTTCTCTTTGGTTTCCAGTGTTCCACTGGTGTCCCCACTGGCTTGAT
Organism: Homo sapiens; assembly: GCF_000001405.40. Classification (NCBI taxonomy): domain Eukaryota; kingdom Metazoa; phylum Chordata; class Mammalia; order Primates; family Hominidae; genus Homo; species Homo sapiens. The sequence continues at coordinate 158,658,463 of NC_000006.12, read as the reverse complement.
GGCGTTGGGCATTCGATTGAACCACAGTTGCTTCATTTCAGCGGGACTCGCTCCAGCTTTTCAATGAGTGCAGTACCATACCCCCATCTTTAGGAATGTGTGGAGTATATATGATTGTCACAGCGACAAATAACTGTCTTGCATTTTCATATAAATCATACAAGTCATTTAGGCAAAAAAAAATTTTAATTAACAACAGAATTTAACTCATATTTAAAAGTATATTTTGCAGGGTTTTGTACACTCCAAATGTTCTAGAAATGCAACTAGTGGGCCGGGCGTGGTGGCTCACGCCTGTAATCCCAGAACTTTGGGAGGCTGAGGCAGGCGGATCACGAGGTCAGGAGATTGAGACCATCCTGGCTAACACAGTGAAACCCCGTCTCTACTAAAAATACAAAAAATTAGCCGGGTGTTGTGGCAGGCGCCTGTAGTCCCACCTACTTGGGAGGCTGGGGCAGGAGAATGGCATGAACCTGGGAGGCAGAGCTTGCAGTGAGCTGAGATAGTGCCACTGCACTCCAGCCTGGGCGACAGAGCAAGACTCCGTCTCAAAAAATAATAGTAATAAGTTAAAAAAAAAAAAAGAAATGCAACTAGTGTGTAAATGGAAGGAAGACTATTTTGTTTCATTTCAAACTTTAACAAGAATTTTTTATTGTTTCAGAAAGACATCATGGAGGGCAACATTGCTTATGGTACTGGAATCACTATGCCATGTATTGATGGCCCGCGTCTGCAGACAATGTCCTTAATATGATTTGATGTATGCAAACATCTGACTATTTCACCTTGTCTTCTCATGCAGTTTACATATACAAGTACATATTATCATTCACTATCCCTTTACTTCTTTTCTTTTGAGACAGAGTCATAGTCTATTTTTCCAAGACAAAGTATGCCTAGGTGACAATTTACTCATTTTAAAATTATCTTTCAGGTTTTTTGTTTTGTTTTTTCATAAAGTTTTTCCTAGCCATTAACAGTTTCTCTTTTTTTCTTTTTTCTTTTTCTCTCTTTTTTTTTTTTTTTTTTTTTGAGCCAGAGTCTCGCTCTGCCACCCAGGCTGGAGTGCAATGGTGCAATCTCGCCTCACTACAACCTCTACCTCCCAGGTTCCAGCGATTCTCTTGACTCAGCCTCCTGAGTAGCTGGGATTACAGGCACGCGCCATCACACACGGCTAATTTTTGTATTTTTAGTAGAGAAAGGGTTTCACCATGTTGGCCAGACTGGTCTTGAACTCCTGACCTCAGTTGATCTGTCCGCCTCGGCCTCCCAAAGTACTGGGATTACAGGCATGAGTCACCGTGCCCGGCCACTACTAAGGGTTTTTAAGGTGGCAGATGGAGTTAATTAGTAAACTGAATGAGCCTATAGTAAGTACCAGGAAGATCAGAGATAACTTCCAAACACCTCACAGCATTAGCAAGAAAAAGTGAACCTTTACAGATTTAAATTCTGGTCACTTACACTAGCAAGATATGAAAAACCACATGGAGTTACTTTACATAGTCTTAAAAATGGATAAAACAAATGTAATTCTCTCTTGAATGCTTTTGGTTTTGTGCCATTTTGAAGTAGAACATGAGGTAGTCAAGGAATTCTGTGAAATCTATTAAAATTCGCTGCATATTTCTCCACACTGTCCCGCCATCACCACACAACACCAGGTTTGTGCTTCAGGCCCTTCTACAACAATAGAGTAAGGGAGTAAGGTGGATGATTTTTTTTTTTTTGAGACAGAGTCTCGCTCTGTCGCCCAGGCTGGAGTGCAGTGGCACAATCTCCACTCACTGCAAGCTCCACCTCCCGGGTTTACGCCATTCTCCTGCCTCAGCCTCCTGAGTAGCTGGGACTACAGGCGCCTGCCACCATGCCCGGCTAATTTTTTGTACTTTTAGTAGAGATGGGGTTTCACCGTGTCAGCCAGGATGGTCTCGATCTCCTGACCTCGTGATCTGCCCGCCTCAGCCTCCCAAAGTGCTGGGATTACAGGCGTGAGCCATCGCACCCGGCCAAGGATGACATTTTTAACACTCACAAAGCAGGTAACAGGAATAGTTGTCACAGGGGTCCTGAACTGGCTGCACCCACCTGCTTGCAGGCAAACGACCACATGCAACCACCCAGAGCAGCAGTGATGTTGCTGAATGGACCACGAGGAAGAGGAAGACTGACAGGTGACAGGAAAGGACAGGACACCTGCCTGGCTGAGACGCCACCGCCAGGCCTGGGAGAAGAGGGGAGTTGTGTGAGGATTGGAAAGGAGGAGAAGGCATCTCTAGGGTGAGAGACGGCAGATGTGACAATACTGAGGTGGGAATGTGTCACTCTTCCACTCTCCAGTGAAGTCACGCTGGTTTTCCCTTCCCGTAAACACATTCTAAAGCACAGGCATCCCAGTCGTGACCTCCCGATCCAGTTCTCCTGACTCCTCCATCCTCAGTTCCCACAGAATGCTCGCCACTCCCATACTGACCTCATTCAAGACCATTCCCTGACCACATGCGCTCTGCATTTCCACGCATCGGCCCCACTCTTCCTTCTGCCCAATGAGGCAAGAGATGGGGACAGTCATGAGACCAGGGCTGGGGGCTGGCTGTGTGGGTGAGTAGCTGCCTCTGCCACCGACTTGCTGTTGAGCTGATGATGGGCAAGTTACTTAAGCCCTCTGGGGCTTCATGTCCTCATCTACGAAGTAGACAGGTGCAGCACCCACTTCACGGCGGTGCTATGATGACGAAACGTGCTGATGCATGTGGAGACCTCTAGAGCACAGTGCTCAGCTCATAAGTACACTCAGCTAATGCCGGCTGACAGTCGTGGTACTAACAGTAAGAGCAGCCTCACTCTTACTATTAGCCCTTCAAGGGCCAGATCAAGGCTACCCAGTTCAGAAACTTTCTCCTCATTTACAATAAAGATCCATTGCTCCTTCAAATTTAACTGCTTTCTAATTTGTATATTTCGATGGTGACCCTGATTTCATTCTGTCTTGAGTGTTTGCCTTCTAGGGACAATATCAGATTTCAGCGATTCCCCCATCACCCAGCCAGGAGGCACTTGATGTTTGGCTTGAATTGAGAAACCTGAAGAATATTGCGACACGGAGATTTACTCCGATGTCAAACTTCCTTCCTAGGGCAGGAAGCCCATATTCAAGTACAGCAGGAAGTAAGGACGGGCAGGGGGCAAGTGAGTCCTCACTGCAGAAAACCTCAGTCTTCAGAAATCCAAAAAGCATAGAAAAATCTGAGTCATTTTGGAATTTAACAGGAATCTTTGAAATTGTATGTTAATCATCTCACGCAGGAATTCACAATCTCATAGCTTGAATACGGAAATCTCCTAGGTCCATTTTCCCAGGATGACATTTATTCGGTCACTCCATCATTTGCTCAACAAGATCTTAAATGCTCTATGATGTCCCAAGCACTGAGTCAGGCACCGTCCTCACCTGCTCGGAGCTTAGATCCAGTCTCCTAACTCCCCTGCTACATTTTTGTAATGGTGCCTGTCTTTGTTTTACAGCACTCCATCGATCAGCCTGATTTTATCTGGCAATTAAAAATGAATAAATCCCACACCACAGCACCACCTGGAAGGAAACATTCTCCTACAGCCATGTGGAGAAGCCCCCCCGACACTCAGCCATCCTGTCTCTGTGTCACTTTTGGAGCCAGACAGTCTGGGCTCATACCCAGCCAGGACTCAGCCACGTGCTCTCAGGCCAGCTGCTTCATCTCTGGGAGACTGGCCTTCCTCCTCCGTGACATGGAGCCATCCCTGCTTCACAGGGCTGTTTGGGGAACTCACTGAGTCATCCAGGCACAGCCCTAGAGCAACAGCCAGAACAAAGCAAGCCCGACTCAAAAGGGTTTCTTCTACCCTTCCATCTCCCCTTCAGGAAGGCCCAAGAGTAGGAAGTTAAGCCACTGTTCTGGGATTGGGAGGGACGCGGGCAGCCATGGGGAAAACTTCAATCTAGGTGTTTCCATTGGTCTTTATCTGGTCATGCTGTATCCCAGTGGAACTTCGGCATCCAGACAAACACAGTTTGGTTACGGCATTGAGTGTGTCAGTTCAACACTGATTTTATTGGCCTCTATGTATCAAGCACGTGCCAGATATCGAGGATCTAAAAAGAAGTGAGACTCAATCTCTGCATTTAAGAAGGACCCATCCCAGCCAGAACATGGACACACAGACAAATAACTCATAACATGGTGGGATGAGTACAAAACCCAAGGATCAGAAGGCAAGAGTCACTCCACACAGGAGCAGAGAGGGCTGGTGGGACCAGGGAGGGCTTCCCAGGGAGAGACGTGTGGGACAGCTCCGCCAGGGGACTGAAATAGTCAGCCATGCACTAGGAGTTTGAAACAATGCCTGCTTGCTTTCCTCAGCCTAACAGCAAATCTTGACTTTGGCTTCTAAATCTGGTGAAAGGGGAAAAGTACAAGAAAAGTAAAACCAATGAAGAAAAGAGATGAGGAGGATGGGAAAGGGACACATTGTTTATTCTTAGGGGCCCCTATTTCTTTCATCCAATCATCTATTGTCTCTGAGCAGTCAGTCATCAGATCAAAGGAAATAAATGTTCAGCCCTCCCTGGTACGGGGGAAACGTCACCAGAGTGGAAATGCAGAGATCTGCGGTAGCATGAGTGCGTGTGAATGTGACTGTCATCACCACACACGCTTTCAAGGGAAGACTACAGAACGTTCTCAAAGCCCACAAGCCACAGCCCTGCAGGTCATTTCAAGCGGGCGGCAGCTCGCTCCTGTATTGTTTACCACAGCTATTTCCTTGAGAAGTTTCACAGCTTCAGCGTGCAGCCACCATGCTTTCTGCCTCGTACACAGGGGAAAAGTTGAGTGACTGCATTGTCCTTGAAATTTTACCTGAAAACCTCATGACTTTTTTGCTTGCATAGATTCTTTTTTTTTTTCTCTGAGACGGAGTTCGCTCTTGTTGCCCAGGCGGGAATGCAATGGCGCGATCTTGGCTCACCACAACCTCCGCCTCCCAGGTTCATGAAATTCTCCTGCCTCAACCTCCCGAGTAGCTGACATTACAGGCATGCACCACCATCCTCCGCTAATTTTGTATTTTTAGTAGAGACAGGGTTTCTTCATGTTGGTCAGGCTGGTCTCAAACTCCCAACCTCAGGTGATCTGCCCACCGTGGCCTCCCAAAGTGCTGGGATTACAGGTGTGAGCCACTGCGACCGGCCTGCTTGCATAGATTCTTTACGGAAGCTGATTACAGCCACAAAGGAAGGTGATGAATAAAGAACAGCTCTCAGCTCAGTTCCCTATTCATAGGCTTAAAAGACTCATTTTTGCAACAATGAGACAGCACGCATGCATATCCATCAGAAAGTCTGACACAGAAATGAAGATGTGCGTTTATACATTTTCTGTCTATCTTGTTACTCATTCAGAGGTGGGTTTTCTGGGAAGCGAATGACACCTCAACTTCAGAATCCTTTATTTGCACGGCCCTGTCCAAGGCCCTAGATGCCCTGTACCTGGTTCCCTCTTTGTTTTCCCAAAGTCTCCACAAGTTGTACAAGTTTCAGGTCCCTCAGATATCTCTACTTCACATTAGAAGACTCGGCTGGGTGCGGTGGCTCACGCCTGTAATCCCAGCACTTTGGGAAGCTGAGGTGGGTGGATCACGAGGTCAGGAGTTTTGAGACCAGCCTGGCCAACATGGTGAAACCCTGTCTTTACTAAAAATACAAAAATTAGCCGGGCATGGTGGTGGGCACCTGTAATCCCAGCTACTCGGGAAGCTGAGACAGAATTGTTTGAACCTGGGAGGTGGAGGTTGCAGTGAGCTGAGATCGCGCCATTGCACTCCAGCCTGGGTGACAGAGCGAGACTCTGTCTCAAAAAAATAAATAAGGCCGGGCGTGGTGGCTCACGCTTGTAATCCCAGCACTTTGGGAGGACGAGGCAGGTGGATCATGAAGTCAGGAGATGGAGACCATCCTGGCCAACATGTTAAAACCCTGTCTCCACTAAAAATACAAAAAAATTAGCCAGGTGTGGCGGCAGGTGCCTATAGTCCCAGCTACTTCGGAGGCTGAGGCAGGAGAATGGTGTTAACCCGGGAGGCAGAGCTTGCAGTGAGCTGAAATTGCAGCCACTGCACTCTAGCCTGGGCAACAGAGTGAGACTCTGTCTCAAAAAATAATAATAATAAAATAAGTAAATAAATAAACAGGCTGGGCTCGGTGGCTCACACCTGTAATCCCAACACTTTGGGAGGCCGAGGTGGGTGGATCACCTGAGGTCAGGAGTTTGAGACCAGCCTAGCCAACCTGGTGAAACCTCATCTATACTAAAAATACAAAAATTATCTGGGCATGGTGGCAGGCACCTGTAATCCTAGCTACCGGGGAGGCTGAGGCAGGAGAATCACTTGAACCTGGGAGGCAGGGGTTGCAGTGAACCGAGATCGTGCCATTGCACTCCAGCCTGGGCAACAGAGTGAGACTCCATCTCAAATAAATAAAAAAAAATAAAAATACATAAAAATAAATAAATAAATAAATAAAACATTAGAAGACTCACACGTGGGCTTGAATCTATAAAACTTGAAGCCTACCTGAGAGAGGACAAAGTTGAACAGGCGCTTTCTCTGAAAGATCACTGCAATTCACCGCTGATTCCGAGTATTCTTTCTCATTCGGGGAGCCTTTTACCACCCAAAAACAACAAAAAATATTACTTTAGAATCAGAAATAGGAATTCATGACTGAAATAGGAAGCCATGGCATTCATACTTTAAACTTGACCTCTTTGTATGGAAGAGCAAAGAAATGAGAATTAATATTATTATTTATTTATTTATTTATTTATTTGAGATGGAGTCTCGCTCTGTCACCAGGCTGGAGTGCAGTGGCGCGATCTCAGCTCACTGCAACCTCCACCTCCCGGGTTCAAGCAATTCCCCTGCCTCAGCCTCCTGAGTAGCTGGGACTACAGGCGCCCGCCACCACACCCAGCTAATTTTTTTGTATTTTTTAGTAGAGTTTCACCATGTTGGCCAGGATGATCTCGATCTCTTGACCTCATGATCCATCCGCCTAGGCCTCCCAAAGTGCTGAGATGACAGGCGTGAGCCATCACACCCGGCCGAGAATTAATATTATTATATCCTTCTAGGTACTACTCACAATTGTTGTTATGCTTTCTGTTGTGCCAACAGCTACTATTTATTTAGCTCTTACTCTGAACCAGATAGTTTAAGTACTTTGCATACATTATCTCTACTAATCCTTATTGCCACATTATGAAGTAAATGTACCCATTCTACAGATGAGGAGAGTGAGTCTTGGAGTGATTAAGTAACTTACCTAAACTCACACTCTAAACTGGGTCTGTTTAACTCCAAAACCTTATGCTTCATTTAGGCAAAGCAGCTAAGTTAGAATCTCCAACTATCTTGGCTAAATAATCTTTTCTACACCAATTCTAATTTCTTTTTTTCTTTTTTTGAGACGGAGTCTTACTCTGTTGCCCAGGCTGGATTGCAGTGGCAGGATCTTGGCTCACTGCCACCTCCGCCTCCCAGGTTCAAGTGATTCTCGTGCCTCAGCCTCCTGGGCAGCTGGGATTACAGGTGCCTGCCACCACACCCAGCTAATTTTTGTATTTTTTTTTTTTTTTTAGAGATGGGGTTTCATCATGTTGGCCAGGCTGGTCTCAAATTCCTGATCTCAAGGGATCTACCCACCTTGGCCTCCCAAAGTACTGGGATTACAGGCGTGAGCCACCGCACCCAGCCCAATTCTAATTTAATAAATCTTTAATATCTAATGTGCACTTTCCTCTCATAGTCTCTTTCTTACCAAGCAATTTAGAGATTAAGGAAGCTTAATTAAAAGAAATTTAAATTAGACCCTAGCTAACTTTTTTATAATTCCAAAATGATATTTATGTTCCACCTCCAAACGAGAAATTACGGATGATCAAAACAATAAAGTCGATTCAGAGAGAGCAAAATAGTAATAAACTGTAAGTATAAGAATTTGCAAACCAAAGAAGAAAGCAAATGACACTCTACCCTTTAAAAAAAAAAATCACACCATATAGCTTTTGGATAGTGTTTTTCTGTTTTGTTTTGGTTTTTAATTAACTCTGAAGTCACTTCCACCATATCACTTAAATCATTATTATCTCAAATGTTAAATGTATGTTATTCAATAAAATTACAAGATATCTTTTATCTAATTTATTATGTTTTGTTTCCTACCTTTTCAATGTCATAAATTTAAGAAAAGTTACAATAACTATAATCTCTACCCACCCCACTCCCCCACTCCTAAAACGACCTGCTGCAACGGCCAGCCATGCCTTCTCATCCTACCTTCGCATCTGCTTCAAGAGAAGAGACCAGAGCCGGCTCTGCAGAGAAGGAAGTCAATTCTTCTTGTTAGAGTAACTGACGTATTTCTCTTCCCTTCCTGTCGGGCACAGGCTGACGCAGTGCACCCTGTGTGGCCAGCCTTACATGCCTCGGTGGCTACTCCCACATCACTAGGGACCCAGGGAGCAAAGCCACCCCAAAACCACATCAAGGAGCTCTTCTATGCCAACATTTTACATTTTTAGCTGGAGGAAAGACCAGGCTGATGCTGGTGAAATGTTTCACCCTTCCTAAGGAAACTCCCTACAGAGACTACAGCCTTCAAATATTCAAATGTTCTCACATTTGTGAAGGGTTTCACATTGACTTCAGTGTAAATGACTAACCACATCTCAAAGAACAGCTATTAACTCAAGAATAATTTACAAGAAAGGGGGACAGCCAGGCCAAGAGCGATGAAGATTGTAATGAAATCACCAAGGGGAACCTTCAAAATGCTGTGCGTGTACTAGGTAGTATTACTCAGCACCGTGAAGTGTCCCTGCCCTGCTAACTCAGGCATGGCCAAGGACTTGCTCTGGAGAGCAATAAGACAATGAAGTGTGTGCAAAGGTGCCACGTGCCACGTAGGCTTGGCACCTACCGAGCCAGTACTGGGGCCACCATTCATTCTCTTTCCCTTCTCTTTCCCTTGATGACTCCAGACACAGGCTGCTCCAGCAACCTCGTCTCAGCATGGAGAAGACATGAAGCAGAGCCATGGAAGATCCTTGATGGTCATGGAGTGTGAGTGGCAAATAAATGTTTGCTGTCATCAACCACTGAGAGTGTAGGGCCATTTGTTTCTGCAGCTAACCTAGCCTATTCTGCTGATGTAGTGTGTAGTGTTTTCACAAACACAGAACTGAGCACCAAACTATTTAATAACTACTATAGCATGAATATTTACCCATTGGAACAAATGCCAGCGGAGGCCCTGCTATACCACGAGTTATCCTTTAGTTATTGGATCTTGGGGATGAGGTCCCAGGGAAGGGGCTGCAGTCACCAGGATTGAGAGGAAGAGGGACCCAAGAAGCTCAGAGCAGCCACTGTTTCATGGGGTACAGAGGTATTTCAGCACAACTGTGCCTCCGCTTCCCAGCTCAATAGCAGATCTAAATATAGGCACTTCTTAGCTAATCTCTTTAGCTTTTCTCAGCACAGGACTCTCACTTTAGATATGTGTCAGCCAGAGTTTCTTTTCCTTTACAACATTAAATTCCTCAGCCATGAGTGTTTCAACAGCACCCTCGTCCTCATCGTCTTCTTCTGTTACTATTATTTTGACTCAGCATGATCTCATAGTAACACACTTCTTGGCACAGGGGAAGAAAGGAAAAAATGGAAAATCCACAGGATGGCATTTGGACTATGAAGGGCTGCAGATTATAGCAGAACAACACTGCTGGATATTATTATTATTATTATTTTTTTTTTTTTTTTTTTGAGACCGAGTCTCGCTCTTTCACCCAGTCGGGACTGCAGTGGCGCGATCTCGGCTCACTGCAAGCTCCGCCTCCCGGGTTCACGCTATTCTCCTGCCTCAGCCTCCCGAGTAGCTGGGACTACAGGCGCCCACCACCGCACCCAGCTAATTTTTTGTATTTTTAGTAGATACAGGGTTTCACCGTGTTAGCCAGGATGGTCTCGATCTCCTGACCTCGTGATCCGCCCGCCTCGGCCTCCCAAAGTGCTGGGATTACAGGCGTGAGCCACCACGCCTGGCCTATTATTTTATTTTTTGAGACGGAGTTTCGCTCTTGTTACCCGGGCTGGAGTGCAATGGCGCTATCTCAGCTCACCGCAATCTCTGCCTCCTGGGTTCAAGCGATTCTCCTGCCTCAGCCTCCCAAGTAGCTGGGATTACAAGCATGCACCACCATGCCTGGCTAATTTTGTATTTTTAGTAGAGATAGGGTTTCTCCATGTTGGTCAGGCTAGTCTCGAACTCCCGACCTCTGGTGATCTGCCCACCTCAGCCTCCCAAAGTACTGGGATTACAGGTGTGAGCCACTGCGCCCAGCCACTGCTGGATATTATTGATGTTATTTATTGATGTGACAGTTCATTGATTGCTATGATTATTAGGCCCACACTTGCTAAATAAAGGTATTGGCAGCTCCAGTCCCACAGTCTGTATTCAAGAAATTTGACTCCAGAAAAGAAAGGTGATTGCACGCAAACCTGCCAACCTATCACTAACCTCCAAATTGAAAAACAAACCTAAGATTCACTCCACTGACTTACTGCATAGAAACTAAACATTATTCTAAAATATGGCAGAATGCCAAAGATTCATGAGCAGTTACGAGTAAAGGTGTCTGAGCTCCAATGCTTCTGATGGACATCCATTCGTGGCAGATGGAAGGTGCTGGAAATGGCATCTGGTGAACTGCCAAATGTCTTAACGATTTTAAATTCCTTAGCCCTACAGACTACATCAGTTGGGCAGAATATAATACCACATCACTGCATTTTTCCAAGCACTACAACATCACATAAGCCTAGAGAATTCAAACCCTCCTATTTACAGATATATCCGTTTAAAAGAAAAAATTCCATAAAGGCCATGTTTTAGTCAACTTTGTAGCCTCAACCCCCAGCTCAGAGCCTGACACAAAGGGAGTGCTCCATATATGTGTATTGAACAAGTGAACAGATAGTTGTGAAGATAAACAGACCAGCTCATCCGTTTACTGGCAGCCTCAAAATGTCATACATCGCGATCATTTAACAAATGTTCTTTAATAGTTAAAATTGGAGAGTGGTACCCAATGTATAAAAGCTAAAATCATGTAAGCATTTTTAAAATGCACATTTGCATGTTTTCTGTTGATTTATGTGCATGCTGGTGATCCGCAGTTATAACAAGATCCATGCATTAATTATGCACCATCCTAGCAGACATTCAGGAAATTGATTTAAATTAGGAAGTTCCTAAAAGGTTGTGGGGAAAATTGAAAAGGCTGTCCCAAGTGTCATGTTCTTCCATTGCAGGTGTTTGCTCAGAACCGGTTTACTCTTGCTTTGCACATAATTCTGTGACACTTAGCTACTGAACTCCAGGTCCACAACAAAGTAGCAGAAGAAAAAAGATTTCAGAGGCTCCTGATTGGCTCAGGATCGTGGTGGGGCCAAGAGCTTGGAACCAGGTAGGCAGAGAACATCCAAAACGAGATCTCAGGTGATACTGAGAAGGGCAGGCAGGCAAAGCAATGTCAGCATCAGAATCACATGTGGACTGAGGCGCACGACTGAAACACCAGGACAGGGGAGTTGAAGCCAGGTAATAAGAAAGGAATTCAAAAGGTAGATAAAGTTCAGAATCCAAGGAGAGGAAGACCAGGTGTGGTAAAGCAACCAGCCTGCCCAGCAAGTCTCCTCGCTCAGGCCGAACACCCAGGGCCAAGCAGCCTTGTGTCAGTCAGGGCTCTGCCCTCCTCTCGCCAGCCCTGTTTCCCTCAAGGAGGCAGGTAGTTGCATCTTCCTCCACTCCCCAGTTCTCTCCATTTGGGTCTGAGGCAAAGCTAACACCCATGAGGGAAATGATTCATGCAATAAATTTTAGGCCGGGCATGGTGGCTCACAGCTATAATCCCAGCACTTTGGGAGGCTGAGGCTGGAGGATCCCTTAAGCCCGGGAGTTTGAGACCTGCCTGGGCAACACAGTGAGATCCCATCTCTACAAAAGACATATTAAAAAAATAGGTGGGTGTGGTGGCTAGTGCCTGGAATCCCAGCTGCTCAGGAGGCTAAGGCAGGAGAATACCTTGAGCCCAGGAGTTCAAGCTCTTAGTGGTCTTTGGATGACTAAACTTCAACACATCTTAGCTCAAAATCTCCGATCACACCACTGCATTCCAGCCCGGGCAACAGAATGACACCCTGTCTCTAAATAAATAAATAAATAAATGTTAATTGTGTAGCTATTATGTGCCAGGCACAATGTGGAAGGAAGGGGATACATTAGTGAATAAAACAGATCCTTCCTGCATGGTACTTAGTTTCTAAATGGAGACACACCATCAACAAGCAACCATAAATACGTTCTTGCAAACTGAGAGAAGTGCTATGAGGAAAATGTACAGGATGCAGGGGTGGAGGATGAGGAGGTCGGCTACCTTAGATGCCGTGGTCACAGAATGGCTCTCTGTAGGAGATTTTGAGCTAAGATATGTTAAAAGTTTAGTCATCCAAAGATCACTAAGATTAGTCTATAGTCTGACAACTTAGTAACTATTGACTTATGGCAGGGCAGAATGGGTGAGGGGAGGGAGGAGTCGTTGGGTTAGGTTCCTCTTGAAGGGCTCTAATAAGACCCTGATAGACCGACCAGGTTACAGTCCGATGGTCATAATCCAGATGAGAGATATCAATCTTTAACTGGGGTCCCGAGCATATGGGGTAGAAATAACAAGGGTTGTTGATGGATTAGATGTGGGATTTGAAGTTTAGGTCTACCAAATCCCTGGGACCCTTGCAGTCAGCTCTTTCTTGGGGAATGGGAAGTGGGTTCCAGCAACCTGAATTCAAGTGCATGACGAAACCAGAAAAAGCAAACGCCAAAATCAAAACTCGGAGCCTCAGAATACCTGCCAATAGATGCATATGCCCCAGCTTTCCGTGGAGGGCAGTTTACCAGAGCCCAGTGCAATTCCTAATTTCCATAAAGAACCCACATACAAATAAAGTCTGTCTAGTTCACTATGGTTAAGGTAGTCAGGAAGTGTGCCACATTTTACAAAATTTTCCACCCAAAATGTTTTTTTTTAATGGTGCTTAAAGGAAAAATTCTCATTTACCTGGAAAACTTAACTCCCCAAAGGGAAGTTTCGTTCAGATAGCTAAAGCATGCCAATCCCAGTCCCCAAGGGAACTGCAACAACGTCTCACCGGGCGCACTGCCTTCAGCAGTCACTTTCGAGTTTGTTGCCAGGTGTCCGAGCGGGTTTGAACGTCCGCGTCAATCCACACAGTACAAACCGGAGGAGGGGCCGGGACCACGCTTCCCCTCCAGGACTGCCTTTTGTACGTGTGTTTTGTTTCTGTTGCTAAGGTTTAGGGAGCTGCCCGGCTACCCTCACGGATTCCCATGGAAACTACCACCTCCCAGAGGACAGGAGGAGAGGCGAATTCAGGGTCCACCCACGGGCCCCGCCCAGGGATGGGGTCACTGAGGGTCCGGGCAGCGAAGGGCGGGGCCCGGGAGCTGGGCATGGGCGAGGCAGGCGCGAGAGGAGAGGGGCGTGGCAGGTCCGGGGCGGGGCCTGAGTGCGCCTGCGCAGTCCGCGCCACTCAGGGAGCCGGAGGGGACGCGCCGGAGGAAAGATGGAAGACTACCAGGCTGCGGAGGAGGTAACCGCCGGGTCGGCGACGGAAGGGTGGAGGCCTAGAGCCCTGGCCGCGGAAGGACACGCGGTCCTGCCCGGAAAGGCCTGGCTGCCCACCTCCTTCAGCTAGGCCAGTCTCGGCAGCCCACGGCCTGAGCTTCCCGGTCGCCGGCGCTCCGCCCGGCCCCATTCTGCCCGGACATTGCCGCCGTTTCCCCGGCGCGGGGGGCGGGAAGGGGATTGAGCTTCTTCCCGCGCGGGGAGGCACCGGGCGTGACTCGGAGAGAGCGCCCCGGTGAGCGGTGCCGAGAAACCTTCCCGCAGGGCCTCGCCTCCGGCCCGCAGCCAAGCTCGCCGAGAGGATGACATCACCGCCCCTTGCTCTGCGGGGCTGACCCCAGCCCCAGCCCCAGCCTGGAGCGGGGCGCGGCGGCCGGGCTGGGAGCGCCGAGGCTTGGACGTCTCCCCGCGGAGGTGCGGGTGACGCTCCCGCCGCCAGCCCCTCCGCCCCGGGCTGGCGTCCCGGCCATCCCGCGCCTTTGTCTCGGGCCTCACCTGGTTCTGCAACGCTGGGAATGAGTAGCACATTTCATTTCCGTTTAATATGTCTGTAAGAAAGCTCATTGTTGTGGGGAAAAAATCATCTTTTATGCCTCCTTGAGGAAGTAGGATAAAGCCCACGATGTCGCCAAGCAGAAGACACCCATCGGCACCGTGTGCGTTAAATGGCTTTCCTTCAAGCTCACGGTCATTCGGGGAATAGAGCTGATGGGCGCAGCTGAGATACAACACTCATTTTCTTCTTACTGAATAATCCTTGTTGAAATTCAGATAGAGCCCTATGGATTTATTATGCAGCCTGTCAAAAATATAAACTATAGATACATTTGGTAAGGTTGGATATCTTACCATTTATGAAATTTAGTGGCTGGGCGCAGTGGCTCACGCCTGTAATCCCAGCACTTTGGGAGGCCTAGGCGGGCGGATCACCTGAGGTCAGGAGTTCGAGAGCAGCCTGACCAACATGGAGAAACCCCGTCTCTTTTAAAAATACAAAATTAGCCGGGCGTGGTGGCGCATGCCTGTAATCCCAGCTATTCGGGAGGCCGAGGCAGGAGAATCCCTTGAACCTGGGAGGCAGAGGTTGCCGTGAGCCAAGATCGCGCCATTGCACTCCAGCCTGGGCAACAAGAGCGAAACTCCGTCTCAAAAACCAAAAAAAAAGAAAAAAATTTCGTTTAAGGAGGAATGTTTTCAGGGAAAATAAAACTAAAACTTAAGGACTGATTCTAGAGTTTCAGTTTTGATCTGATTTCCTAACTAGCACACACTTCCTGTGACAGTGGCATAATCAGTGTTTGAATGCTGATGGCAACCAAGTGAATAATGACGAGAAGAGCTGGTTCAGGAGCAGTTGGCAAAGAAAAAAGCCTTTCCCCTTAAACTGTTACTAATATAATATTGGAAAATGTCTTGTATTACAGTAATATCGAGTAAAACTTCTAAAAAAGAAATCGCTTTGTAAAGGAAAGCGCTTAATACTGCAGTCCGATTCTGACTCCCACAAATAAGGTGGCTAAGTGGCTTCATTATTCGAGATCTCAATCGCATATGTGTAAAATGAAGGGGCTGGACAGAGTGATGAGTGTTCTACCTGGGATGGAGGCCCTGGGAGGTGGAGACCATGGCTGTCTTGTAGTAGGCATGTCTTAGGTATTTACTGAATGGCCCGTTCTGGTCCTCCCACCAGCCTCTTAGCAGCCTTTTCTGCATCTCTTCTAACTTCGTGTAGATGCCTGGGCCTTTGTAACTATTCTCTCAACTCACCATTCATCTTTCTTGGAGACGTTAAAACTATCCACTGGATTCAATACAACTCTGCTTTCCACTAAAAATTCTTTAAAATGTCCCTCAACCTTTTTCGTACTGTAACCATATGGGAGGTGATACAGTGCCTTTCCTTTGTGATTAAGGTCACGGTAGTCACTTGGAAGGATCCTTTAAGCTTCCAGAAATGACTTAATCTCTAAGATATTGCAAATTGTTCTTCACTCAGTGAGTTGGTTTTGTTTCCAAGTCCGACTTCTGAGTACAGCAAGTGAGGTGGCTTCGGGCAGTCAGCTCCTGAACCCCCTAAAAAGAAAGGGCAGGGCCTGCAGTGGACAGCAGCCAGACAGGGAGGAAGACTCACTGCCAAGTCAGGGTTCTCTGCCTTGATTCCCTCAGGATGCACGTTGACTGAGGGCCCCAGGGGTTGCCCTCTCGAAGGCGTGTCCAGAGCTACGTACCTTTCCTGGGACTCAGCAGTAACTTTAAACGCTTGTGCTCATGTGAAGAGCACATTGGCAGGCAAGTGCCTGACTAATGTTATTTTCAGGATGACCTTTTACCCATTCAGATCTACCATGTGTAAAAGGAAAACTATACTCCTGGCACTAGATTCCTGCAGGCAGCCCACCTCCTGAGTCATCCAGACACTGACAGAGAACAGCCATGCTGGCAGCTGGTGGTTAGTCCTGGAGTCGGAGGGCAGCACTGGGAAAGAAAAATAATTACCTGGAGATAATGTAATCATCGTACATTTTACAAGTAATGGTGCTTTAAAAAAATCTCCTCAAGGTCAAACTGATCCTCCTAATCAGTTTACATCATGGAAGAGAGAATTACATCTTAAATGGATTACTTCAGCAGCTTCAGTTAATTTATACAAAAATCAACCAACTCATTAAGCCTCTCTATTGGTTAATGATTCTAGCAGCCAGTTGAAATGGAAGAAGAGAATGAATTCTAGTTTAAAGTGAAGTCTTAGATTGTGGCATGATTAAAACAAAACAGGGCCAGGTGTGGTGGCTTACGCCTGTAATCCCAGCATTTTGGGAGGCTGAGGCGGGAGGATCACCTGAGGTCAGGAGTTCGAGACCAGCCTGGCCAACATGATGAAACCCCATCTCTACTAAAAATACGAAAATTAGCCGGGTGTGGTGGAGGGCACCTGTAATCCCAGCTACTTGGGAGGCTGAGGCAGGAGAATCACTTGAACCTGGGAGGCAGAGATTGCAGTGAGCTGAGATTGCGCCACTGCATTCCAGCCTGGGCTACAGAGCGACACTCCGTCTCAAAAATAAATAAATAAAAATAAAACAATACCTTTAAATTATGTGCATGTATTCTAGTCTTCTGGTTTCTGAAGACTGTAATGCCATCCTTGGTAAAGCTGAACAGTCTAGTTAGATTATTTCTAAGGTCTTCATTTCTACATTATGTTCATTACCTACATTTGCATTTATCAATGTAGTGGAAATATCTTTTAAATAAATCAAACTTAACTGAATGTTCTTCCTTACAGACTGCTTTTGTTGTTGATGAAGTGAGCAACATTGTAAAAGAGGTAAGAGGAGAAATGCTCACTTCTTAAATGTTTAATGGCTTATATTAGAGAAAATAATGTGTTTTAAATACTATCTTGGAATTGTTTCGACTGAGTCTGTGTGTTTTGGTGTTTCAAATAACAGTTTTTACTTCAGTAAATAGCTAGATAAGAGTTGCTTCTATATTATGTAAATTACATATTTTAAATCAGATAAGGAGTTTTATGTACATAGCATTATTACTGCATATCACCAAGATTTGATTCTATAATCTTTTAAGCATAAAAGAATCCTGGTATACAAATAAATGTCTCCAGGGTTGAATGAAGAAAGAGTGAGTATAAGAAAATTGAACAATCAATTTCCAGTTATTCTGGACCTAGTGATCCAGTTTGGGGCCTATTTGCTTACTTTTCTTACATTCCTAAATTTCACACTTTATTGTGTTGTTGATCATGAAGAGGAAGAGAGACAGAAGGGATGTTTGTTACTCATTCAGAAAGTACACACTGAGGGAGCGTGCAGGGCATAGACCCTTCTGGAGTTTACAGCTGAGGGGCAGGCAGGGCAGACACATCAAACAGTCCTGCTGGAAGGTGTCAGCCTGCATTTGCTGTGTGGTAAGTGCCACTAGTGGTGGTGCTGTGAGAGCACTGAACTGGGAATGTGACCCACCCAGGGAGTTCAGGGACCATTTCGAGCTGAAATCTGCAGAATGAGAAGTAGGGGTAATGCAGTAAAAAGAGGGGACAAGGCCCCCTGAGACTGGGAAGTGGGGGCAGTGCATGGTGTGTGAGGGAGTGAAAGGAGGTGGGTGTGGCTGGAGCGGTGCTGAGAGCTAGGGGCTCATTCCTACCTAGGGTAGGAATGAAGCCAGAAAGAGTTTTCCTCATCAGCTTCCCTGCCTTCCCTGGGTAAAATGGGGCACAGATAC
Source organism: Homo sapiens (assembly GCF_000001405.40). Lineage (NCBI taxonomy): Eukaryota > Metazoa > Chordata > Mammalia > Primates > Hominidae > Homo > Homo sapiens. Next base: position 158,640,404 of record NC_000006.12, on the reverse strand, counting down.
TAAAGCCATTGGCTAAAAGAAAACTATTAGATGATCTGAATTTAATGATACTGTTTGGGGTTTCAGATGTAATTTAGAATTTAATGTAAATTATTGACTAGTGTTTGATAAAAAACCGCAACCTATGTTTGTGATCAGTATCCAAAGGCAAAATGATTTTGTTTGACCATTTACATTGTTCAGCATCAGGAGTGACTTTCTGGTTGCTTTGCAGGATCTGTACGTTTGGTTTTCATGGTTTTTCTAAATACACAGTTTCACGTGGAACACAGCAGGGGGCAGGAAGGTGGGTGGATTACACCAGAACTGGGAACAGTGGAGGGGGCTTGTTGGGAAGTCTAGTTCTGCCGCAGTTGTTTTCTGCCTTATCTTTGACTTGGTTACCAGCTTTCAATTAGCAAGTGCAATTGAAAGTACACATTTCCATGCTGGGCGCGATGGCTCACACCTGTCATCCCAGCACATTGGGAGGCCGAGGTGGGCGGATCATGAGGTCAAGAGATCGAGACCATCCTGTCCAACATGGTGAAACCCCGTCTCTACTAAAAATACAAAAATAAGCCAGGCTTGGTGGCGCATGCCTGTAGTCCCAGCTCCTTGGGAGGCTGAGGCAGGAGAATCGCTTGAACCCGGGAGATGGAGGGTGCAGTAAGCCAAGATCACGCCACTGCAATCCAGTCTGGGCGACAGAGCAAGACTCTGTCTTAAAAAAACAAAACAAAACAAACACATTTCCAATCCACATGGAAACATGAGGTGACATTGCAGTGTTACTTGAACTTGTGTCACTGGCCTCAACAGCTTTTTTGCCGCCGCAATAGGTAATTCTGTACTCAAGTGACCCTAAATATTGGGTAGTAGTCAATTTGCGCAGGTCCAAAATTGGTGGAGGGTTCCCTCCTCCTTGAAAAACTGAATTTCAAAGTATGTGCGGAGGGAGAGCTGGCGGAGGGAGAGGTTTACCTTCAACAAAGCCTCCCCCACCCTTTGACGGGAGAGGTTTAGCTTGAACAAAGCCCCCCCTACCCTTTGACAATGCCCAGGTCTAGTAATACTGCTGTTCTCTTAAACCGGGACTTCTGGCCCCCCAGCCCTCTTGTAGCCTCTGAGCTGGGAGGGAGCACAGTGGCCGAGGACAAGAAGTAAGCCAGCCCTATGTGTAACGTGACTACTCAAGAGTCTCAGGGAGATGATCAGCAGGTCAGTGGGTAGAAATCAGAGTGACCTAGGGAGGTTTTAGGTCCTCAAAAGCAAGGTCGCCAGATCTAAGCCCCAGGCATCAGATCCCAGTCCATCACCACCATGCACAGCTCAGATCCCTGGACTGCTGGTTTGCTCTGCCTGTCTGAGGACAGACCTTGGCCCTCACTGAATGTTGTTATTTTCACTTTAGGTCATAACTGTCATAGAAACTCAGGTTCCTGGTTTCCAGCACAGCAAGTTAGGGGTAGAGAATAAAGTTGCTGAGATGCAAGCACACTGGCATCCATGTGAAAGGGGAGCTGACAATGAAAAACTCAGAAAATCATACAATGGCAATATCATAATGATAAGCTTAGCAAGAGCAGCGACAATGAGCTTGCATTGTCAGATAACCCCCAAAGAATACAGCATAGATAAAGAAGTAAACGTATAATAAAGAAAAAAAGTTGGGCTGGGTGCTGTGGCTTATGCCTGTAATCCCAGCACTTTAGGAGGCTGAGGCAGGAGGATCACTTGAGCCCAGGCATTTGAGAGCAGCCTGGGCAACAGAGCAAGACCCCATCTCTACAAAAAACTAGCCAGGCGTGGTGGCACATGCCTGCAGTCCCAGCTACTGGACAAGCTGAGGTGGGAGGATTGCTTGAGCCCAGGAGGGAAGCTGAGGTGGGAGGATTGCTTGAGCCCAGGAGGTCAAGGCTGCAGTGAGCCAAGATTCCATCACTGCTCTCCAGCCTGGGCAACATGACACCCTGCCTCAGAAAAGTAAAAATAAAAAAATCTCATCATAAACCTAAAATAAGTTTTGGAATATAAAGGGCTTTTAGTTATCTGAAAAATGCACTTAATGTGGTAACATGTTCTCAGACAATGCTGGATAAAAGTATTTTTTAATATATGATTATTTGGATAGCTTTGTATATTGTCAGTTGTACAAATACAATTCATCTAATATATAGTATTAGTGTATGTTAGGTAGTAGTAGATAAAAGTAATATACTTTTAAGAAATGAATAGGCAAAATACTTTCTAGCCTCAACAGGAAAAAAAATGTATTAATAGTAGTGAACATGAAATGTGATTATTAGGTCAAAATGTGTAAATAATTTGACAGACTATGAATTTTTGAAGCAAATTTCAAACTTATTTAAATGAAATATAATGCTATTAAAAGTATATTTGCAAAGGCACCCTCATGATTAAAAATAAACTTTTCATAAATCACTTCTTGGGGTGCCGTCAGTTCCTGATTGAAAGGTGGTGTGGGTGCATTTGGTTAACCGGGACGCGCTTTGTGCTTTGTTTTCTAGGCTATAGAAAGCGCAATTGGTGGTAACGCTTATCAACACAGCAAAGTGAACCAGTGGACCACAAATGTAGTAGAACAAACTTTAAGCCAACTCACCAAGCTGGGAAAACCATTTAAATACATCGGTAATGGAGTCTTGTTTCTTTTATATTTGCGGGATGGTTTTTTAACACTGATCAGAGGGGCATCCAGTACCAGAAACAACAGCTAACGTGGCTCAACTCAAGGAAGGCTCCTGGTGGGAGTCGGTCGTGTGTGTAGTATACGTTAGCGTACGCTTGACCATTTGGCTGCTGGTACAATTGCAGATCGTATGTGAAGCGGGATCTTACAGGAGGTCCCATCAGATGCTTTTAGAACAAGTGAAGCATAGAGGAAGTGTGGACAGCCCCCAGCTGACAGTGGCTCAACTTAGAATTTTTCAACTTTGATGGATTTACCAGGGTATTAAGTGCATTTGCAACTTACATTTTCATATATTGTTGATTTATGATGGGTTTATGGGATGTTGTAAGTCAAGGAGCACCTATAATTTGTCAATATAGTGAGACAAGGCAATCTGTCCCTATAATTTTTATCGAGAACATCAACCACGTGGAGCTACATACATTGTACGTTTGCTAAAAGTGGACAGAATGACATTTGTGTTACCCAGTAGACTTCTCTAACAAAAATTTGTTTTAACTTAAGTGACCTGTGTAATTATGCAGAAGAATGGAGCTGGATTACACACAGCAAGTTCCTGCTTCTGGGACAGCTCTACTGACGGTATGATTTTCATTCATGTTTGTGAAGTTTTGTTGTGTGAAATATATGACTGGAAGTTTCCTATCTTTGAATGCAATGCATGTTTATCACCTTTTAAAACATTTAATAATAGACTTGCCAAGGTTCTTTGTGTAGCATAGAGATGGGTACTTGAATGTTGGCCTTATTGTGAGTAAAACGTCGTCCCCCAGCTTTCCCTGCCGTAAATGCTGCTCTCTTCCCTCCCGCAGGGAGCTGCACTGTGCGATGGGAGAATAAGACCATGTACTGCATCGTCAGTGCCTTCGGACTGTCTATTTGACCTGCAGTCCAGCCTATGGCCTTTCTCCTTTTGTCTCTAGTTCATCCTCTAACCACCAGCCATGAATTCAGTGAACTCTTTTCTCATTCTCTTTGTTTTGTGGCACTTTCACAATGTAGAGGAAAAAACCAAATGACCGCACTGTGATGTGAATGGCACCGAAGTCAGATGAGTATCCCTGTAGGTCACCTGCAGCCTGCGTTGCCACTTGTCTTAACTCTGAATATTTCATTTCAAAGGTGCTAAAATCTGAAATCTGCTAGTGTGAAACTTGCTCTACTCTCTGAAATGATTCAAATACACTAATTTTCCATACTTTATACTTTTGTTAGAATAAATTATTCAAATCTAAAGTCTGTTGTGTTCTTCATAGTCTGCATAGTATCATAAACGATTTCTTCATAGTGAGTGGCTACAGAATCTATACAACCAGACCAGGCGCAGTGGCTCACACCTGTAATCCCACCACTTTGGGAGGCTGAGGCAGGCGGATCATGAGGTCAGGAGATCAAGACCATCCTGTCTAACACGGTGAAACCCCGTCTCTACTAAAAATACCAAAAATTAGCCAGGTGTGGTGGCGGGCGCCTGTAGTCCCAGCTACTCGGGAGGCTGAGGCAGGAGAGTGGCATGAACCCAGGAGGCAGAGGTTGTAGTGAGCCAAGATCGTGAGCCAAGTTCCCGCCACTGCACTCCAGCCTGGGTGACAAGAGCAAGAGTCCGCCTCAAAAAAAAAAAAAAAAAAAAAAAAAAAAAATATATATATATATATATACAACCAAAAAAAAAAAAGTTCTGCTGTGGTCCTCTCCATGATGTACTCATTTTACCCGTGGGACCAGGATCCTGACGGCTCTGCTGGGTTCTGGTTAGATTCCTACCCCTCGGCATCACACCTCCCATTCTTAAGCCCTCCTCTTCTAGAGGTGAAGGGGTGGGAGGTGGGCAAACCAATTTCTATTCTCTTAGCCAGAGAGCTCTAACTCACACTTGGCCCAAAGCTGTAACACCTTAACTGTTAATCCTGTGTTCTCTGTAGGGCTCACAAATTGTCTTAGTACTTCAGAGCTTACAAAATGGTTTTCACAATCATTCATTCTGTGTCTTCAACAATTTGCAGTCATTTAAAAATCTCAGAAAATGTGTTTGGAGGTTATCTGATTGGTTTAAAGTCACACATCCAAGTTGGGAGCTGGGCCCAAACCCACGCCTTGTCTCCATCTTGAGTGCTCTTCCCCAGGCCACATTAGACATGGCAATAAAGATACCTCCGTGCCTGCCTGCTGAAATGGAAAAGCCCTGCCGTTGTCTCCAAAGCCGCTTTATTAAAGCATTTATGTCTGCAAGGCCAAATTAACTCCACACACAAAGAGCAAACAAATCAAGACACATAGAAGTGAATATTAAAAATTTATTAACATTTCCCAGAAAGGTAGTGTCAGAATTAAGCCATTCGCAAAAGACGAATTTGCCATAAACAAACATTCACTTTTGCCTGATGACAGCAACACTGTGATGGGGTGGCACTGTGCCCCACGGACAGGTCCACAACTGAACACATGGCTCTATCTCTCCTTTTGGGCTTAAAGTTTAGTGTTATTTTATTTTACAAATATTTACAGTCATTTTGTAAAAAGGCAGTTTTTAGTAGCAGAAAATTCTTCTGTTTTATAGTATGGTATCACAGTTACTAGCGTATCTCCAATGTCAAACCAAGATAAACAGCATCACAAGATGTCACAGACTAATACAACTTCCCTTTGGCCAGGGGAAAAGATCTGTATCTTTTTTTTTTTTTCTTCAAAAGTCTAACCTCTAAGGCAACCGGTTTCTAAAACCCTCAAAATACACAAATACACTTTCATGTTTTAAGTCTCATCTTCACTAAATGTTCAGACACATCCGTTTTAATTATCCCTTTTATGAGGGTCTGTGTTTTTCCTGTGATAAAGGATTCAGGAAATAATTTACCACATTATAATCTATTTAACATAACTACCCTCAGTAAATAGTTCATAAAATACTTGAGGCTGGTGACATTTGTCTTGTAACCTGCTCATTTAGTGGGTTGGGTTTACAAAATGTATCTAAGCTTTTATTGCAATCTGCAATTATGTACATTAACAACCTTACAAACCTTGAACATAGTATATATATCCCCTTCTCTAGCCTTTCAAATGGGGCTTAAGAGAGAGAAAATGGCACCACTTCACTGCTATAATGATTTAATAATAAATCAAGCAGACTTATCATCCACATGGATAACGAAGCTCTCCCTAGGGAAACTGAAATACCTCTGGTCATCTTCCAGGTTCTCCTAGACTGGACCAGTATTTAAAAAATCCCAAAGATGATGTTACTCAAGCCATTACCATGAAGGAACTAAAGTCAGCCCTTTAAGTTCGCAAAACTTTAACATAACTACCCTCAGTAAATAATTTATTTTTTCTTCAACAATTTTCTTGCTACTGTCAAAAGTTTCTGGCAGACTTTAGTGTTTTAACCTGATACCTATGGTACATATTCTACATGCCAAGTGCTAGAGAGTTTAAGCAAAATTTTACATGGGGTATGTAATATGTCGGTATTTATGATATACCAGGGAAGACAAGTTGAAAATACATGACTTAGTAAGAACGATTTTCCCCTTAAGTACTTTCTAACTTTTTTTCTTATTTCCCACTTAGTTACAAAAAGTAAATAAATAATCCTATATTTTTCATTTCATTGATGCATGAAGACTCAATGTATGAAGATAATAGTCATCAGTTTATAATTACACTATAGGACAAAGTTTTAAAAAGTTCTAGTGTGTGTATGGCTAAATGCCTCAAATATTTTACATTTACTGATAAATAACAGCATTCCAAAATCATGGACAATTATGATTAAAAGTTGTAAACCATATCACAGAATATGTTAATCAGCACATCTTCATCAGTTTACATAAAGTTATAGTAGTCTTATTAGAAGTTGTAAAATTTGGTAACAGAAAATTTTTTTCAATACACAGAATAAAAAAAACATCATTGCAAATTTAAAAATCATGTAAACTTGAATTACCCTTGCAGTAAGTTGTCTTAAACATTCATATTTACAAGGTTTTTAAAACAAATGTGAATAGAATCCATATTAAAAGTACATTATCATTAAAGTTTAAATTAAAAGGAAAGATACAAAGGAAAGTCATAACAAATAGTTTCTCATGAACATCTCTAAGGTCCTACCTAGCACTACTTAACGTGGATGATAACGTGAAGCTCTGCATGGTAATCTGAGAGTCAATGCATAGATGAAGAAAAAAAGTAGGTACTGCTTGCGTTGCGGAACTATCATCTTCTGGACCTCAATTGCCAAGACGGCATCAGTCAGGTTGCCCACAGTTACCAGATGTTAACAGAAGTGTGACTGTAGAGGTCAAGAGGAAAGCACGGGAGACGTCCACATGAGACTCTATATGGAGTCCCTGACTGAAAGGAACGGGGAAGCTCCAGGGCCTTCTATGATGCCACAGATTCAGCAGTGCCAAGGACTTTACAGAACAGGTCGTCCCTACCTGACCGCCATGTGGACACATGGAGGACAGGGAACCCCTTCCGGAAGCACGAGTTGCCTTCTACCCAAATACGTTTTCCATGAACCATTTAAAACATTTTACTTGCTTTTCATTTTGCTTCCAAATATGAGTTTTAAAAACTTTTGGCCAATAAATAATCTAAAATATTCTATCAATCTTTCATGTAGCTTTATTTATTTATGACACGGGTTCTCGCTCTGACACCCAGGCTGGAGTGCAGTGGTGCAATCATGGCTCACTGCAGCCTTGACCTCCAGGGCTCAAGCAATCCTCCCACCTCAGCCTCCTGAGTAGCTGGGACTATGGGCATGCCCCAGCATGCCCAGCCAACTTTCTAAATGTTTTATAGAGACGGGGTCTCCCTGTGTTGCCCAGGCTGGTCTCAAACTCCTGGGCTCAAGTGATCCTCCCACCTTGGCCTCCCAAAGTGTTGAGATTACAGATGTGAGCCACTGCACCTGGCCCCTCATTTAGCTTTTACTTACATAAATAAATAAAGCTCTATGGCATTTCATATTCAACAGAATTGCAGAAACTGCTATTTACTGGAATGGTAAGGGTTCCTCTCCTGCCCATACCTCCCACAGGCAAATCCATTTAATCATGTGTGTACACACAGGCCCCTGAAAAGCACCATGGCAGTAAGACCTTCCCCACATGAGTTGGTAACCTGTAAATTATCTTAGCCTTTCCTTATTCAACTTATCAAACCCTCCTCAGAACTCCACACTATTACTTCCCCTTTGGTGACGTGAAGGGTTGGAACCCCAGCATCTCCCATTCCCGATGAGTCATAACTCACACACTGCACAAAACGCAGTCCACATAACTGACCAATCACTTCAGCCACCTGGTTACCCAGGGCACTGGCCACTCAACGAGGAAGGACTGCCCTGAAGCAGCCACAGATAAGGCTTCCCTTTGAGTTTAAAGGGTCACAAAACAGTACCATGGAAAAGGGAAGAAAGAGGGTGATGCTGTCACGCTGAGGACCTAGTCACAGGCTGCCCGTGAACTTGGAATCAGTGAATGATTACAGGAAAAAAAAGTACATAATTCACTGTACTAAAAACGTGAAATTTCCTCATCACTGAAAACACGCTCATCTGAAATCTCTGTAAAAAAGGATTTGGCTGTTGAAACTTGTTATCAATGCCTCTTCTCGTAGCCACCATGACAATAAATTTGGCTAAACATTTAAATTTACCCTCAGTTTTGGTTTTCCTTTAAAAAAATATGTAAACAAATGAACAGGAAATCTCTGCTTGTAAGAAAAATCTGAATATAACAGGGGAAGGTCAGCAGACGGTCACCGGGGAAAGCATCCAGGCATCTTGTCGCCTCGCTGGGCTGGCCGGGGCTCAGTCACTATCTGACTCCTCCTTGTACTTGGCCCGGATGGCCTGGCCGTTCTGCAGCGGCATTTCCTCATAGTCACTCCTGTGAGCAAAGAGACCTTTGAGACCGTCTAACTTCTGACAGCTCTTTATTTTCCTCTTCCACACTGACACACCATTCCAGCAGGAATTAAATCATAGCTTCGCTCTTTCAATTTTCTATCACCAACTGCTACTGCTCACCCCGTCCTCCTCTCCCTGACCCCCAGTTCCCAGGGCCCATCAGTCCAGAAAGCACAGTTCTTCCCGTGGCCAGCACGCCCTACAGGTAGCCAGCAGAAAGGACTACTACCACATCTAAGCCTGAATACTGTGAAAACAGAAAACCACGAGCCACTTGACACTCCAAGGTAAATGCCTTCATACCTTGAAAATAATTTTAGAAGAGTAACCCATTCAGAAACATGCAAGGCCGTGCCGGGATGCCCAAGGTGTGCCGGCCTTCTAACGGACAGGGACTTACCCATAAATCACATCATCATCCGAGTCATTCAGCATGGAGAAGGCAGGATTGTCTTTCAGCTGGGACTCTGAAAACCAACAAGAGCATTTGCATCTCAAGCAATTGACGTGATGAGCCTGGACAGGCAGGATGCTGTCCCGGACAAAGGAAGGGAGTTGGAAAGAACTGGACTCAAATCGCAGAGCTGCCATGTCTGTATAAACCTGAACACATCTCGTGAGGCTGTTTTCTCATCTACAAGACAGGGCTGGCCTGGCCTGCCTGGCAGGGACGTCCTGAAGGCTGAGGGAGGCGGCCTGTGGGAAGGAGCAGGCAGGCTGCCATTGCCCACGCACGAGCTGCCTCCTGTTGACACAAGGAGTGGGGAGCTGAACATAGGCCCCAGGAGAGGTGGCTCTGCCCTGCCTGCCCCCGCCCAGTCCTTGGACGTGCAGCGAGCTGCTGCTTCTGTAAAACGGGCATGATTATATGTTTATCATAAAGTTGCTGTGAAGCTTAAGTGAGACGCCGTTTGTGAAGGTGCTGGGCAAGTGCTAGCCCACTATAAGATGTCGGGGGGTGCGGGGGGCTGCCTATGTTCTAGAGAGTTCCCATCCTTTTCATTCCCTGTGCAAGAGGGTTGTTTTGGTTTCACTATTAGGTGACTTTTTGTATGTTTTGGCTTTTTTTTTTTTTAATGGTAACAACACTACTACAGATGCTCCTTGACTTACGATGGGGTTATGTCCTGATAAACCCATCGTCAGGTTGAAAATATCGTGAAGTCAAAAACGCATCAACTACAGCTAAGGCACCGAACATTGCAGCTTAGCCTATTCTGCCTTAAGTGTTACTACATTAGCCTATAGTTGGGCAAAATCATCTAATGCAAAGCCTATTTTATTTAATTTTTTTTTAAGAGACAGGGTCTCATTCTGTCACCGAGGTTGGAGTGTAGTGGTGTCATAGCTCACTGCAGCCTCTCCTCTTGGGCTCAAGCGACCGTCCCTCCTCAGCCAACCGAGTAGCTAGGACTACAGGCACATGTCACCACACCTGTCTAATTTTTAAATTTTTGGAGAGATGGGGTCCCTATTTTGTTCCCCAGGCTGGTTTCAAACTCCCAGCCTCAAACAATCCTCCCGCCTTGGCCTCCAGAAGTGCTGGGATCAAAGGATCAAAGCCTGTTTTGTAATAAATGGTGACTCTCTCATGAATTTGCTGAATGCTGTACTGAAAGTGAAAAACAGAATGGTTGTTTGGGTATTCAAAGTGTGATTTCTCCTGAATGTGCATTGCTTTTGCATCATTGTAAAGTCAAAAAATCCCAAACTGAACAGCAAAAGCTGGGGACTGACACTAATAAAATGAGTGTGTCAACTCTGTGGGAATGACACAACGCAGGTTCTACATATGCTGGGCCCCAACTCACCTCAGAGCTCGACATTTCAACTCACTCTCTCTCTGCCAAGAGAAGTCACTGGGAATCACAGCGCCCACATGAATGGGAAACCCGGGAAGTGGGTCGTGGATGAACACAGGCCTCTGTGCCCGCTAACTGGCCAGCAGTCCAGACCCCAGGGTGGCTTACCATAGAGGGCATTCTTCGATGGAGAATATACAAAGGCCAAGGTGTAGAGATAGAAGTTCAACAGGCCATAGAAAGATAAGAACTCGGCTGGTGGTGCTGTCAAGGGAAGGAACGCGGCATCTGGACACATCAGTCAGAGGCTCTGCCTACAGCCCGACCACTCCTCCCGCCATCAGCAGCCCCTTCTAGTGCCAAGCACCCGCCAGTGCCCGGGGGTCCATTACCCAGACGTCAGGACTCCACAGTTCAAGCCCACAGCCAGGGGTCACAAGCACTCTTCGAGGTCACAGTAAATAACAGGTGAACTATGGCCTCTCACATCAGTGGAAACCTGGACCCACTGAGCCATCTGGTGGCGCTCCTGTCACCAGCACCGAGGGCAGGGCCAGAAGAGATCAAGTTACATGAAAAGGGCAGGAAGGCCACGGGCATACGGTGAATCAAGGTCTCTAGACACAATAATGAAATAAAGAATTGGAAACAAACTCTCAAACCAATTGCTCTGAACATTTCTGGATTACAGACCCCTATGAAAATCAGATAAAAGCTTAGTGTGAAATTCAGTCACAAAACTTTGAAAAAATCGTATATTAATTCATGCATTAACTGGGACATAAGAAATCCCAAAGAAAGAACCCAGGATCTAAAGGATTAACTCTTGAAGTGTCCCCAACAAAGAGTGGAAAGCACATACCTAACCTCTCCGACTTCTGGGCGAGGCCAGGGCTCCCGGGAGGCAACAGCCCTGCGCCACTGGCCTCAGGCACAGCGGGAATCGAAGGGGGTCCCAGTATTTTCTGAGCTCTTCCCTACAGACACAGGCTCAACCTGCCACAACTGTCATACCCTTGGATACATCTCCGTGATGATGAGAGAGATATCCCGGGGGGAGACAGGAGGCTCACGGCAGCCCTCAGCCACCCCACAGTGCTCTGCTGGAGGGCAGTAGGGGCTTGGAGCCCCGCGGTGTGGAGAGGCAACCGCACCTCATTTACCTCACAGCACCTGCCCCTCTGGGTGGAAAGCAGCGTGGCGTGGGCACGCTCCAGAGCGCCAGCCTCTCTGGGTTTGGAGCCGGGCTCTGCCACCCGAAACCTGACCTGGGGCAACTACTGAGCCAAGCTTCCTGTGTACAGAGGAGGGACAGGCTGCCCCTTCCCACGGCTGCAGCGGGGCCAACTGAGACACCTCTCAGCAGAGACGAGGCCTCCGGAGAACAGGGCGCGAGGAGCTGACCTGTCTCCTCTTGAGAGGGGCAAATCTGAGCCACTAACTGCTGCAATGCTAAGCAGGCGTCCTGCAGCCAGGGCCCTCCAGTGAAAAGGATATAATTCTGGTAGTGAGTTGACAGCTCTGCTACAAAATTGTCTTGTAGTACTTGCGCCCCAAATCTCAAATAAAGGATGGCGATGCTGAACAAGACAGAGGAGCAGAGACAATATGTAAACATGCACGAAAACGGCACTAGCTTCAGAGAATTCTCTATTCACCCCATTCAAGCTTTCCGTCTGTACACTATGATTTCTGCATGGGAACTTCCACACACATGCACAGATGCACGCACAGATGCACACATGCACACACACACACAGCCCCTGCTTCTGGTTTTTGGTCTCGGATCTAGGTGGGCTAGACCCACCGGCCGGCTGCAGGGACAGGATGAACCCTGCTGCAGGCCCCATCACACTCTCCCTACTCGGGGCCTTGAAGCCTCCTTGGCACATTTCCTCCCTGCTCTTGCTTTTGTAACTCAGGTTTTCGAGACCATCTCCTGTGACAGAGCCCCTCTCCCGAGGGAAGCCTGCTTCTCCTTCGTCACAGCTCCCCTTTCAGACACAGGGACGCCTCCCCGGTCAGTTCCAGTGACTTTGCACAGCAGCGAAGGCAACATCTTTGGTTCAGACTCCCAGCCGGTGACAGATGACAACAGAGGCCTCGGGACACAGGTCCACAGGCTCCTCCCCCACCTGCCTTCCACCTCACCTCCCACATGCCACCCTCAGCCAGAAGGCTTAACATGTGCACCAGACCCTTTCACCTCCCAGCTCAAGACCCTCTGGCGGTCTCCCAGCACAGAATGGAAACTGGACTCAAGAGCTCGCTCTGCCTCCTGCCGTGCCCACGCCTGCTCATCTCCAGCCACGCTGGCCTCCAGCGACGCAGCTGTCTCTCCACCTCGCCATGCTGACGCCCACCCAGGCTGCCGGTGCCCTGTTCTGCGGCCTGGGGCAGCCACCCCACAGCTTTCAGGGCTCCTCCTCAGGTCCTCAGCCAAATGTCGCCTCTCCAAGAGATACATCCCCAAACCACTCATCTAAAGTGGACCCTTCCCCTCTGCAAGTCACATCTCCTTGTTTCGTCTGCAGCATGGCACGCAGGGGGAATGTATTTAGTTGTTTGCCACTCGTCTCTCTCTGTGTGAACATAAATCCCGTGACAGAGAGAAGCCTGTCTGCCAGGACAGGCACTCAGTAACTATTTGTAGGATAAATGAGTCCCCTAACACCTATGTGAAGAGAGATCACATGGCAGGGCAACTTCCGAGACGGAGGCCACCAGAAGTAGACAGTAGCTCCCAACTTGGGGACTAGGTAATTTGAGGGTGAGGGTGTGTGAGTGAAGGTGTAAGGGTGTGAGAGTGAGGGTGTGTGTGAGGATGTGTGACAGTGAGGGTGTAAGGTGTGTGAGCAAGGGTGTGTGAGGGTGTGAGAGAGGGTGAAAACGAGGGTGAGGGTGAGGGTGTGTCAGTGAAGGTGTGAGGGTGTGAGAATGAGGGTGTGTGTAAGGATGTGTGAGAGTGAGAGGCTGTAAGGGTGTGCTGAGAGTGAGGGTGTGTGAGTGATGATGTGTGAGAGGGTGTGAGTGAGGGTGAGGGTGAGGGTGAGAATGAGGGTGAGAATGAGGGTGAGGGTGTGTGAGTGAAGGTGTGGGGGTGTGAGAGTGTGAGAGTGAGGGTGTGAGGATGTGTGAAAATGAGGGTGTGTGTGAAGGTGTGTGTGTGAGGGTGGGTCAGTTGTGAGTGAAGGCATGAGTGAGGTGTGAGTGAGCCTCTATGTGAGGTTGTGAGGTTGTATGGCCATGTGTATGAGACGTCACAGAGACAACGTGCACACCTAGCACTGAACAGAGACTAATACAACACACATGCAGCATTATTCTGAGTGACTTTTGATGCTGAATGAAATTTGAGTTCAAGTCCAAGTCTGAGCTGAGTTCACACTCCTAGTGGTGGTGGACGACCTTGGATGCCTATCTCAGTCCTCGCCCTCCACAAGGTGGGGACTCCCAGAGCCCACCTGGAAAGCTTGGACAAGGGTTGACCTCCCAGAGGCCCCTTGTCACTCATAAAGGAAAAGGGCCAACATCCGCTTATTTGCCATCCAAACAACCTAAAAAGGCAAGCAGCAGCTAGATTTTTTCCTCCTCTGGATTCTGATTTTAGGAGAAACAGACAAACCATAAACCACCAAGCAATTACCTGGAATCGATTCAAATAAACAACTTCCCAGACCGCTCTGTTCCTCTACCAACTGGCCAGCACCGGTCCCCAGGGAGGTCTGGGGCACTCAGGCCAGGCCGAGCCTGCCCTGGGAGACCTCAGGCTGACGCCACTCCCTGACACAACAGGACCAAGCCCACTTCGCCTCCCATCTCCCCCAATGGCAGCAATGGAGCATGCTGCTCAAGGGTGTTTGCTGTCCTAACTCGCTTAGAGTCCTGTCCCTGGGGCACCCCAAGGATCCCGAGGTCCCCAGTGCCCTTACTTCCAGCTGGTGACTGCACGCTGCACACATAGCAGGTGGCACAGCAAGGACAGAACATGCCCAGCGCGGGCCGAGTGTGCAAGTGAACGTGCTCCAGTCCTCGGCCGCTTACAACAAAAACATGCTCTCCAGGCTGACGGCTGCTCTCGGCTGCCCAGCCTTGGTGGGAGGCCCTCTAACCTCATGAGTCTACTGGGCTAGAAGTACCCTGAAATCCACTCCACAAAAGGAGGCAACAGATATTCCTGACAGTAAAAGAAAAATTCCGTTTTGCTGTTTTCAAGAAATAAGGTCTTCTTACCTAATGACAAGTACTACGAAAGTCAATGCAGTCAAAAATTTCAACCTGAGATCTGAAAAAGAAAGAAACTCATTAACAACTCTGGAAGTAAATTCCACTTGCATTTTATTTTGAAAAATAAAAAACAAAAATTAAGCAAAGCTCTTTGGACAAATGCTCCTCCCTCCAGACTTAGCCGGAGTCGCCAGCAGCCTAGGAGAACGTTGGTCCCTTCCCAGGGCCAGGATGGTGTCCAGGGAGGCCACAGCCACCATCCTCTGGTGGGGACAGATTCAGGAAAGGATCCCGCAAGCTCAGGGTGACTCGCCCTGCTCTGCAGGGTACAGTCCCGCAGGACCCAGGCCACTCTGATGGTCCCAAATGCCAGAGTAACCTGTAAGGCCTGTTGTGGCTCCCAGGGACCACGTGCCCTGGTCCCCAGCCTGTGGGAATGGACCAGTCCCTGGGCCCTCAAGGAAGGCCCCTGGCTTGGGAGACTCCAACCACTTCTTCCCCCACCTGAGTCACTCCCAAGCCACCCCTGCACCGATTCTGAAAGGAGCACTTACCCACATAAGGCATGTGACGTAGCTCGGAACACGCCCGCACTATCAAGAACAAGAGGTACAGAATGTACACCGCTGCCACCACCATGAAGAAGACCTTCATTCCCTAGGAGGACACAAGGCAGCACTTGAGTCGGAACAGGGCCTCTGTGACCTTCTCCTCCCAGCACCACCACAGGCAGGAAAGCCACAGGTTTTTAGAAGGGACTTCAACCCTGAAGGTCCCTCCAGGAAGCAGAACAATGGGCTCCCAGCCGGGACCATCTGCTCAGTCCCGCTGCGAGCACAGGCAGCTCCCCTGAGGTGGACGACACCCCAGGCCTTGCAAATCAGCGGAGCAGAGCCCAAACCCCTCCCACCAGGGACCTGTCCAGGCACAGTGGGTGCTCAGACTGCGGTGGCCACTATCTGTCTCTCTCGCCCCTGGGGGCGAGGGGCTGGCTCCCCACCCTGCCCCTGCATGTGGGAAGGTGGCAGGTGTCCAAGAAAGGACCCAGGCTAGGCCCTGGGAATCCACGCGCCGTCTTAACCATCAACCATTCCCGACCTCTGTTTTCTTATCTGTGACACGAGGGGCTTGAATTAAATGCCCTACAGGACCTAAGGTCTAAAAGTGCACAATTCTGTAATGTCACAGCAAGCCAAAGCCCTTTTCTGAAGATGGAGCTGTGATGGGGAGGGCAGGCCCGTGGGTTCTGACAAGGGCCAGGCCGCGGGGTGGACAGTGTCTTTAGACGCAGTCCCCGCTCCTCGATGGCTCCGGCCCACGCCATCCCCCCACCCCTTTCCTGTCCTCTCAGCGCCAGAGCTCCCCTCTTACAGTCAAGGCTCAGAGCACAGGACAGCACAGCAGGAATCGGGATCATTTTTCTCAAAAGCACCTAAGTGACTTTAGCTGGGACCTTACGTAAAGCAAAGGGACTGGACTAGACCAGCGTGTTTAGCACCGAGAAGGCTCTGCTCTCCGGTGTCTCCTTCAGCAACAGACGTGGGCCCTGGGGTCTGTTCCAGAGCCCACATGGCTGGTTCTCCCCGACACCTGACTGGGAAGGAAGAGCAGCCGACCAGAACCACAGTGACAGGGCCTCAAACTGCGTCAGCCACAAACCAAAGACTGGGAGTAAAAACATTGTTTTAAAGAGCTTTTCTGCCGGGTACAGTGGCTCACGCCTGTAATCCCAGCACTTTGGGAGGCCGAGATGGGTAGATCACTTGAGATCAGGAGTTTGAGAACAGTCTGGCCAATATGGTGAAACCCCCATCTCTACTAAAAATACAGAAATTACCCAGGTGTGGTGGCGCACGCCTATCGTCCCAGTTACTCAGAAGGCTGACGCAGGAGAACCACTTGAACCCAGGAGGCGGAGGCTGCAGTAAGCTGAGATTGCACCACTGCACTCCAGCCTGGGCGACAGAGCAAGACTCCAACTCAAAAAAAAAAAAAAAATTTCCCCAAATCTTCCACCCTTGAACTTTCTATGTAGTCCTTCCCAAGTAGTCAGTTAGCAAAAAGCTCAACAGAACAATTTAAGTCACAAAATTCAGTAATTTTACAAAACAGCATTAAGAAGAAAAATTGCAGGCCTCATTAACAATCCTTACCTGAAAATTTCCGGTATCAACTCGATACTGGTACATTGGATCATGTAATTCGTTAACTCTAAAAATTGACATTATAAATAATTATAGATTAATAACTACCTTTACTTTTTATTTTACATTTTTTCTTATTGACTTTTTGTTTTTTTTACTTATTAATATAAACTACTTCCTACCAACAGTGAAGGATTTTTACAAAGCAATCCTAAATTTATGAGAAATCCTGAATTTCATATTTCACATGAAAAAACTATACAATCCTACCAAGGGTCCACATTTATCAGTATTGGAAAGTTGCAGTATTTTTTATTACACAAAACCCTATATACTATTTCTCTTGCAGTTTTAAGAGCTGTTTTTCCAGTCACCTTTTTAATGGCACGTATGAGTACTAGGAAATAGACAAGAAAACAAAGAAAGCAATAAAAGCAAATAGAAACTTCCATGAGATTGATTTTCAAAATGAAAATGGGTGGCTGAGATGACAGGGAATTGGGGACAGGGGACTGGAGCAGACGGGGTGACTCACTTGGGTCACTGTGGCATGAAACTAGGCATGCTGGGCTCCGAAGTCACACCTGGAAACGGAGCTACTCCGTGAAAGTCCTATTCATGTGAACCAGGCTGCTACCACACTAGGCTTCTGCTGTGGGGCCATTTTACAGGACAAAAGCACTCATAAAGAGCAAGCGTGGGAGCGGGCATAGGGCTTGAAAGTGTGTGGACACAGCAGAGCATCGGTGGACAGTGGAAAGCCAGGAGCCACCCAAGATTCACTCCTACAACAAGGTCTCCCCTCTCTAAAGGAGAAATTGAAAAGGACATGGTCTTTTTCATCTTTCATCATAGACCAGTAGAATTGTGGATTCTCCACAACTCATTTAAGCAAAAACGAATGTGTCAGTTCAAGTCATACAGCTGTCCCTACTTACCCATGGTTTCACTTTCTGCAGTTTCAGTTAACTGAAATCAGCTGCAGTCAGAAAACGTTAAATGGGACATTCCAGAAAAAAGCATTCCCTAAGTTTTAAATTGCATGCCAATCTGATAGCACGATGACATCCTGCACCATCCCCCCAGGGATGTGTGCCACCCCTTTGTCCTGTGTACCCCGGCTGCAAACGTGGCTCGCCCGTCAGTCGGCCACATCATCTGCTCCTGACACACAACCACCGACACTGTCATGGCTGCGTGACCCTCCCGACATATCACAGGAAGCTCAGGAGCAGCCTAGCCCTATGTCACAATGCCTACACCATTCCCCTCACTTATCCCACACACAGGGACTGGGGCATCTCACATCATCATCATAAGAATACAGGATATTTTGAAAAAGAGAGAGCACGTCACACAACTTTTATTATAATATATTGTTATAGTTTTTCTATTTTATTGGTTATTATTAGCCTAACAAATAATCTTTATCATAGGTATGTATGTATAGAGAAAAACATACCAGAGGGCAGGCGCTGGGGAGGTCAGAGTGGTGTCATCTTGGGCAGAGGTCAGGCAGGGCAGAACAGTGTGGGCGGCCCAACGGGGCAGGCAGGGCGGGTGTCTGGGCCTCGGCAGCCAGGTGGGCTGTCCGGAGGCAGCCTTCAGGGGTGCGGCTGGCTCTGAGGGGCGCTTGGGCCCCTTCCAGCCCAGGGCAGGTGGGCGAGCTGCGGGAGCCCATGGGTCCAGCAGCCATGTGTGGACCTTAAAGCCCTTTGTGGTCTTCGGAAGCGCTTTGACAGCTCTGGACTTTGTATTGCAAAGTAATCAAAGTGCTCTGTAGCCCCTGAAGCAGTTAGGCATCTGTGAAGTGGCCTGCGCAGACAGAAGCGCTTGGTGATCTCAGAAGCACACTGAGCTTGGAAGCCAAACCAAAGCCTTTAGTAAATATCGGATCATTCTGACTTCTCCAAAGCACGCTGGCATCTCTGAAACTGTGAGAACTGTGATGGGCAGTGGGAGGAAGAGGGAAGGGGGTCCATGGTGCTGGATTGGCACAAGGTCAGGTACCACCAGAGCAGAATGTGGGAAGGTGTCCCAGCAAGCGCAGCTGCCTCCGGGAGTCCGGTGATGTGGCCCCCTCAGCTGGCCAGCTCAGAGCTCTGTGTTGGGTTCAGGACGGGCTGGTAGCCCCAAGCGCCTGAAAACCCAGGAAGAGGATGGTGTGGCTTGCTTCGCCGAGGTTATCCTGGGGCTCATCCTGCCGCAGAAGTAACTCCTCCTCCTTGACAGAGCAGGAGCACCTTCATCTTGGACAAACACTGCCACTTTCAGTGCCAGCTCCCTTTCTAACCTCCTGCATTTCAAGGAAATCACTTCTCGAGATTCTAACAAGCAGCAGCCAGAAAGAGCAGATAGTAAAACACAGATAACACAGCTGGGCACAGACAGAGAGGGGAAAGTCTCTTGGGTAAGCACCAAACTTCACACTCATACCATGTGCCCCAGTAGAACAGTGGGTCCTAATAAGCACATTCGTTTCCCTTTAGGTGCACCAAGATAGGAAAGCTAAAAGCAGACGTGGGGGCTATGCCTGCAGTTGCAGGAAGATGTATGGGGAACAGACACAAAACTCTCCCTTCCAGATAAGCAAGACAAAGAGACACACAGAAACATTTCGAGCCTGTGATAAGCTCTCCCACCCTGAACGCTTAAATACTCTTAGCCCGTAAGAGAGTGCCTCTGACCTAACTTGGCCAGAAGGCCCTCTCAGGTTTATTGTCCAAAATAAACCTATTTTTCACTGTTGAGCTGCTTTTCGTGTTTCTTTCCTCTTTAACACTTACATTTGGTGCTGAAACCCGGGACAGATGTTGGGGACAGAGGCTCTCTTGCAACCCAGGAAGCAGTGGGCAGCGGCAGCTTGTCCTGAGTTAACTCCTGGATCCTGAGAGTCTCTGGCCATGCACCCCATCTTTTCTCTCACTTCACTCTTCCAGCAATTTGTGCGAGGACAACTAATCTGAAGGGGACTGCGAGGCTCGGGCGGGGGCTACTCCCCAGTGGGCTCTCAAAACCCTCAGGTCTCAGGAATCCACCTCCAACCACCAGCGATGGGTATTTCGCTCCCTAACCCTTGCTCCCTCTTTCTCCCTCTTCTTTCTCTCTCCCTCTCCCTCTCTCTTCCTCACGCATGCCGGTTCGGGAAGCCCTTTGGTGATTCCAACTGGAACATCCAACATCAGACACTAATTCAGCTGACTGGTAAGATCTGCCTTCTCCTGGCTTTCTCGTGGTACCTGAGAAAGTTCGGTCTGCCGTCCCAGTCCTCAGAGGACCAGTGGGACTAAGCTAGAGGACATCTTGGGGGCGCCCAGTTTCTTCTCAGCTTAACTGTCCTCTTTGGAAAGAAGATTCCAGGTCTCTTGTCTGGGGATGCCTAATAAAAATAGACCCCCCCGGGCCTCCTCTCACCAGCCCACATGGTGCCAAACCATCCCACATTCCCACGCCTCCCCTCTGGGCTGTCTCCTTCACAACCTCGCCAAACTTGGCTCACAGGGACTCCTAAAGCCAAAGTGTTTAGTTTTTTATTGCAATATGGCCTGGTCCCAATACAAACAAGATAATAACAGCCAATTGCCTGAGAACAGCACCCTTTAACTTTCAGATTCTCAGGGACCTTGACAATTTTATCACCAGGAATGGCAAATGGCAAGAGGTTCCCTATACTCAGGCTTTCC
Organism: Homo sapiens; assembly: GCF_000001405.40. Lineage (NCBI taxonomy): Eukaryota > Metazoa > Chordata > Mammalia > Primates > Hominidae > Homo > Homo sapiens. Next base: position 158,619,933 of record NC_000006.12, on the reverse strand, counting down.
TCTACCCTCTCTATGTCAACCTTGCACCCCTCATGACATCCTCCTTTTTTTTTTTTTTTTTTTTTTGAGACGGAGTCTCGCTGTGTCGCCAGGCTGGAGTGCAGTGGCGCAATCTCAGCTCACTGCAACCTCTGCCTCCCAGGTGCAAGTAATTCTCCTGCCTCAGCCTCCCAAGTAGCTGGGACTACAGGTGTGTACCATCACGCCTGGCTAATTTTTTGTATTTTAGTACAGACGGCATTTCACCATGTTGGCCAGGATGGTCTCAATCTCCTAACCTCATGATCGGCCTGCACTGGCCTCCCAAAGTGCTGGGATTATAGGCGTGAGCCACCGCGCCTGGCCAACATCCTTCTCTTACAAAAACAAAACAAAAAACCCTCCCTAGGTCTCTCCTTCCTCCAAAACTCCTTCCTCTGAATGACTTTGACGAGTTGACAGAAGTAGGCTTCAGAAGATCGGTAATAACCAACTTCTCCGAGCTAAAGGAGGATGTTCGAACCCATCGCCAAGAAGCTAAAAACCTTGAAAAAAGATTAGACAAATGGCTAACTAGAATAAACAGCACAGAGAAGACCTTAAACGACCTGATGGAGCTGAAAACCATGGCATAAGAACTACGTGACGCATGCACAAGCTTCAGTAGCCGATTCGATCAAGTGGAAGAAAGGGTATCAGTAACTGAAGATCAAATGAATGAAATGAAGCAAGAAGAGAAGTTCAGAGAAAAAAGAGTAAAAAGAAACGAACAAAGCCTCCAAGAAATATGGGACTATGTGAAAAGACCAAATCTATGTTTGATTGTTGTATCTGAAAGTGACAGAGAGAATGGAACCAAGTTGGAAAACACTCTTCAGGATATTATCCCCCAGGAGAACTTCCCCAACCTAGCAAGGCAGGCCAGCATTCAAATTCAGGAAATACAGAGAACGCCACAAAGATACTCCTTGAGAAGAGCAACCCCAAGACACATAATTGTCAGATTCACCAAGGTTGAAATGAACGAAAAAATGTTAAGGGCAGCCAGAGAGAAAGGTCAGGTTACTCACAAAGGGAAGCCCATCAGAATAATAGCTGATCTCTCAGCAGAAACTCTACAAGCCAGAAGAGTGGGGGCCAATATTCAACATTCTTAAAGAAAACACTTTTCAACCCAGAGTTTCGTATCAAGCCAAACTAAGCTTCATAAGTGAAGGAGAAATAAAATCCTTTACAGACAGCAAATGCTGAGAGATTTTTGTCACCACCAGGCCTGCCTTACAAGAGCTCCTGAAGGAAGCACTAAACATGGAAAGGAACAACGGTACCAGCCACTGCAAAAACATGCCAAACTGTAAAGACCATCAATGCTAGGAAGAAACAGCATCAACTAACAAGCAAAATAACCAGCTAATATCATAATGGCAGGATCAAATTCACACATAACAATATTAACCTTAAACGTAAATGGGCTAAATGCCCCAATTAAAAGACACAGACTGGCAAATTGGATAAAGAGTCAAGACCCATCAGTATGATGTATTCAGGAGACCCATCTCACGTGCAGAGACACACATAGGCTCAAAATAAAGGGATGGATGAATATCTACCAAGCAAATGGAAAACAACAACAACAACAACAACAAAAGCAGGGGTTGCAATCCTAGTCTCTGATAAAACAAACTTTAAACCAACAAAGATCAAAAGAGACAAAGAAGGCCATTACATAATGGTAAAGGGATCAATGCAACAAGAAGAGCTAACTATCCTAAATATATATGCACCCAATACAGGAGCAACCAGATTCATAAAGCAAGTCCTTAGAGACCTACAAAGAGACTTAGACTTCCACACAATAATAATGGGAGACTTTAACACCCCACTGTCAACATTAGACAGATCAACAAGACAGAAAGCTAACAAGGATATCCGGGACTTGAACTCAGCTCTGCACCAAGCAGGTCTAACAGACATCTACAGAACTCTCCATCCCTAATCAATGGAATATACATTCTTCTCAGCACCACATCATACTTATTCCAAAATTGACCACATAGTTGGAAGTAAAGCACTCCTCAGCAAATGTAAAAGAACAGAAATTATAACAAACTGTCTCTCAGACCACAGTGCAATCAAATTAGAACTCAGGATTAAGAAACTCACTCAAAACCTCACAACTACATGGGAACTGAACAACCTGCTCCTGAATGACTACTGGGTAAATGACGAAATGAAGGCAGAAATAAAGATGTTCTTTGAAACCAATGAGAACAAAGACACAACATACCAGAATCTCTGGGACACATTTAAAGAAGTGTGTAGAGGAAAATTTATAGCACTAAATGCCCACAAGAGAAAGCGGGAAAGATCTAAAATTGACACCCTAACATCACCATTAAAAGAACTAGAGAAGCAAGAGCAAACACATTCAAAAGCTAGCAGAAGGCAAGAAATAACTAAGATCAGAGCAGAACTGAAGGAGATAGAGACACAAAAAAAACCCTTCAAAAAAATCAATGAATCCAGGAGCTGGTTTTTTGAAAAGATCAACAAAATAGACCGCTAGCAAGATTAATAAAGAAGAGAGAAGAACCAAATAGATGCAATAAAAAATGATGAAGGGGATATCACCACCGAACCCACAGAAATACAAACTACCATCAGAGAGTACTATAAACACCTCTACTCAAATAAACTAGAAAATCTGGAAGAAATAGATAAATTCCTGGACACATACACTCTCCCAAGACGAAACCAGGAAGAAGCTGAATCTCTTAATAGACCAATAACAGGCTCTGAAATTGAGGCAATAATTAATAGCTTACCAACGAAAAAAAGTCCAGGACCAGACGGATTCACAGCCGAATTCTACCAGAGGTACAGGGAGGAGTTGCTATTATTCTTTCTGAAACTATTCCAATCAATAGAAAAAGAAGGAATCCTCCCTAACTCATTTTATGAGGCCAGCATCATCCTGACACCAAAGCCTGGCCAGAGACACAACAAAAGAGAATTTTAGACCAATATCCCTGATGAACATTGATGTGAAAATCCTCAATAAAATACTGGCAAACCGAATCCAGCAGCACATCAAAAAGCTTATCCACCACGATCAAGTTGGCTTCATCCCTGGGATGCAAGGCTGGTTCAACATATACAAATCTATAAATGTAATCCAGCATATAAACAGAACCAAAGACAAAAACCACGTGATTATCTCAATAGATGCAGAAAAGGCCTCTGACAAAATTCAACAGCGCTTCATGCTAAAAACTCTCAATAAACTAGGTGTTGATGGGACGTATCTCAAAATAATAAGAGCTATTTATGACAAACCCACAGCCAATATCATACTGAATGGGCAAAAACTGGAAGCATTCCCTTTGAAAACTGGCACAAGACAGGGATGCCCTCTCTCACCACTCCTATTCAACATAGTATTGGAAGTTCTGGCCCGGGCAGTCAGGCAGGAGAAAGAAATAAAGGGTATTCAATTAGGAAAAAAGGAAGTCAAATTGTCCCTGTTTGCAGATGACATGATTGTATATCTAGAAAACCCCATCGTCTCAGCCCAAAATCTCCTTAAGCTGATAAGCAACTTTAGGAAAGTCTCAGGATACAAAATCAATGTGCAAAAATCACAAACATTCCTATACACCAATAACAGACAAACAAAGAGCCAAATCATGAGTGAACTCCCATTCACAATTGCTTCAAAGAGAATAAAATACCTAGGAATCCAACTTACAAGGGATGTGAAGGACCTCTTGAAGGAGAACTACAAACCACTGCTCAACGAAATAAAAGAGGACACAAACAAATGGAAGAACATTCCATGCTCATGGATAGGAAGAATCAATATCGTGAAAATGGCCATACTGCCCAAGGTAATTTATAGATTCAATGCCATCCACATTAAGCTACCAAGGACTTTCTTCACAGAATTGGAAAAAACTACTTTAAAGTTTATATGGAGCCAAAAAAGAGCCCACATTGCCAAGACAATCCTAAGCAAAAAGAACAAAGCTGGAACATCATGCTACCTGACTTTAAACTATACTACAAGGCTACAGTAACCAAAACAGCATGGTACTGGTAACAAAACAGAGATGTAGAACAAGGGAACAGAACAGAGCCCTCAGAAATAATATCACACATCTACAACCATCTGATCTTTGACAAACCTGACAAAAACAAGAAATGGGGAAAGGATTCCCTATTTGATAAATGGTGCTGGGAAAACTGGCTAGCCATATGTAGAAAGCTGAAATGGGATCTCTTCCTTACACCCTATACAAAAATTAATTCAAGATGGATTAAAGACTTAAATGTTAGACCTAAAACCATAAAAACCCTAGAAGAAAACCTAGGCAATGCCATTCAGGACATGGGCATGGGCAAGGACTTCATGACTAAAACACCAAAAGCAATGGCAACAAAAGCCAAAATAGACATATGGGATCTAATTAAACTAAAGAGCTTCTGCACAGCAAAAGAAATTGCCATCAGAGTGAACAGGCAACCTACAGAATGGCAGAAAATTTTTGCTATCTACTCATCTGATAAAGGGCTAATATCCAGAATCTACAAAGAACTTAAATTTACAAGAAAGCATCAAACAATCCCATCAAAAAGTGGGTGAAGGATATGAACAGACACTTCTCAAAAGAAGGCATTTCTGCAGCCAAAAGACACATGAAAAAATGCTCATCATCACTGGCCATCAGAGAAATGCAAATCAAAACCACAATGAGATATCAACTCACACCAGTTAGAATGGCAATCATTAAAACGTCAGGAAACAACAGGTCCTGGAGAGGATGTAGAGAAAGAGGAACACTTTTACACTGTTGGTGGGAGTGTAAACTAGTTCAACCGTTGTGGAAGACAGTGTGGCAATTCCTCAAGGATCTAGAACTAGAAATACCATTTGACCTAGCCATCCCATTACTGGATATATACCCAAAGGATGACAAATCATGCTACTATAAAGACACATGCACACGTATGTTTATTGCAGCACTATTCCCAACAGCAAAGACTTGGAACCAACCCAAATGTTCATCAATGATAGACTGGATTAAGAAAATGTGACACATATACACCATGGAATACTATGCAGCCATAAAAAAGGATGAGTTCATGTCCTTTGCAGGGACATGGATGAAGCTGGAAACCATCATTCTGAGCAAACTATCGCCAAGCACAGAAAACCAAATACCACATACTCTCACTCATAGGTGGGAAATGAACAATGAGAACACTTGGACACAGGGTGGGGAACATCACACAACAGGGCCTGTCGTAGGGTGGGGGGAGGTTGGAGGGACAGCATTAGGAGATATACCTAATGTAAATGATGCGTTAATGGGTGCAGCACACCAACATGGCACATGTATACATATGTAACAAACCTGCACGTTGTGCACATGTACCCTAGAACTTAAAGTGTAATTAAAAAAAAATTTTTTTTAAATAGGATTGTCTATAAGGTTTCATTAAAAATTAGGGTTAATATTAATAGCAAACGAATGCAAGGATAAAATTCAACTTTCTCTCTTAAAGAGGATTTTTATGTAATAAAAAGGATGAGGAATGGTTTTTGCTTTCAAATGTTTAACTCATCATTTTGGCGAAGCAAAAACTTAATGGTAATCTAAAGTTCTATTTCATACTATCAAGTGTTTCAAATTTTCAACATATTTAACAGGCTTCCCCAAATCAAACTTTAGTCTCAAGGTTGTCTTTCCTAACCCCCGGCCTTTGGGTGCTGCAGAAGGCCCCTGGAGCATCCAGAAAAGAGGTAAACAGGATTATTTAACATGTTTAGGTACATGAAATTGTCAAGATAATGTCCAATAGGTTTTATTTGAGGGAATAATATTAACATATGTTCTAAAACTGTATGGGATGTCTAAGGTTCTAGTATCTAAATATGTGCTATTAATCACAAGTAAGGTTATGTTGGGTTACTGTAAACCACAGAAATAACCAAATTTATTTGTCAATTGTGTTTCTGATTGTATCCGAACAGGACACTGCCAATCCTTATTTTATTTTCCAGAGTCAAGGAAACTTGTCTTAAACTAAATATACTCCTGTAAATATTAGGATTTAAAGATGTTTGTTTCTCTCTGCCTAGTTCCTCTAGAATTTGAAAACTAGTTATAAGTATTCTTAAACCACAACAATATAGTTGTGTGCATCAGTGCGGTAAGAATATATTTTCTTGCGTAACAGAACACAATTGGAGAAACTGGTTATTCTGCCAAGGCTTTCACTGGAATGGTGTGCTCTCCTTTAAGGAATCGAACTTGACTTAGGAAGCCAAGAAAGCCCTTGGAAACTGGTCTCATATTCTGTGTACACAGTCCCTGTACAGAGTTTCTGACCTGTGCTAAGCAAAGCATGTCACTTTGACAGGCCAGGAACCCCAAGTTATCTTGAAACCTCAAGAGGAAAGGAATTCACCCAACTCATAGGTATTTAATGGTACAAATCCATGGCTGGGTTTGGCTTTGGAAAGTCTTATCTGATTCCTTCTATGGAAAAAAGTTCCATCAAAGCCAATTTAAAAGGTGTATGTAGCAAATAATTACTCTTGCTGCACTGTATACAAATAAATAAGCCAAGTATAATAAAGCAAACCAGTCCTATTATGATTTGTCTTTTAATAAAAATGGTAAACTGGAGAGAGAAAATTAGGTTTCAAAAACTATAGCACACCTGTTAAATTCTAGTCTTGACTGATGTTTTTCAATTTTTATGGTTTTCGACAGTTTAAATTACATCTGTTACAGGAATCAACCCCTGCATACATCACACTCAAGTCAAAGCCTGAAAAGCTGAGGAAGCAATCCCAACAGCCCAGAGGAACGTCCTAAATATCAATGTAAAGAAATAAGAAATCTTAAGTTGAAAATCATAAAAAATAACTAACTGAGTGACAATTACTCATCTGACTCAGTCTCACTCTTACCTCACCAAGTACTTTTTGTCATTTCTACCTCTCCTTTTAAGCCAAATATTAAAGCTTTTTTATGGAAATTATTTACCATGCCACCCTTGCGGGAACTGCTTTACTGGACTATTTGCAGTAGGACTATGTACTGCAGCACCCTGAGGGTAGGATATCAGACAGACAATCTCAATTACCGTAGCATTTTGCTTAATTACTATCCTTACAGCAGGAATAACAGTTACTAATAAAAAATAACACATGGGTCTTTCCAAACATGTGCCTCTGCCTCTCATTGGGAAAGAAATGTTGCTTCTATCTCAACCAATCAGGTCTCGTAAGAGAGGCTGCTAAAAATCTCAAACAAAGGGCTAAAATGCTAAGCGAATACCAAAACAACCAAATGAATTATTGGTTTGGGAACAAAAAGCATACCATGGGTCATCCCATTCCTGGGCCCTCTCCTAATAATAAGCCTAGGACTAATGTTTTTACCCTGCCTAATTAACCTTTTTCAAAGATTCTTAACTGACAGGAGCATGGCTATTTCACAGACAACTATCCAAAACATCTACAGACGGCATTGCTCCCGCAGTCAATCCGAGACCAAGGGACTCTCTACCTCTCCCACCCAGCAGGAAGTAACCAGAAAGAACACGTCGCCCCTGGTCCTTTTATAACTATAGGGTCTGGAATGACAGAGCAGGAGCACCGTCATCTTGGACAAACACCCCCATTTTCAGTTCCAGCTCCCTTTCTAACTTCTTACGTTTCAAGGAAATCACTTCTAACAAAAAGCAGCCAGAAAGAGTAGACAGTAAAACACAGATAAGACAGCTGGGCACAGCTGGGCACCCAAGTCTCTTGGGTAACCACCGAACTTCACACTCATGTTTTGGGAGTGTAAATGGGCCCCCAAAAATGGGCCCCAGTAAAAAAGTAGGCCCTAATAAGCACATTCCTTTCCCTTTAAATGCGCTAAGATAGACAAGCTAAAAGCAGACTAGGAGGTGGGGGGGGTATCCCTGCAGCTGCAGGGAGTTGTATGGGAACAGACACAAAACCTCCCCCTCCCAGATAAGCAAGGCGAAGAGATACAGAAACATTCCAAGCCTGTGATAACCTCTTCTGCCCTGAACCCTTAAATACTCTTAGCCTGTAAGAGAGAGTGACTCTGACCTAACTCGGCCAGAAGGCCCTCTCAGGTTTATTGTCCAAAACAAACCTGTCTTTGACTGTTGAGCCGCTTTTCCTGTTTCTTTCCTTTCTTTAACTCTTACATTCCTCCCCGGCATTCCTCGGGCACAGGTGTGGGCGGGGCCGCCACCAAAGGCTGCCTGATTCAGAGCACTCAGGGAGTCCTTTCGTCAGGGGGAACCCCTCCACATCCTACCAATCCCTTTCTAGAAGAAATAGCTTCTCTAGAAAAGGAAGCCTGCAGCTTTAAGGCTGATTCCAAAGATAGTTCTCGTAACTCCATGAACTCTTAATTTGCAACTGAAGCTGAGAGTCAGAATGATACGACTGAGGAACCCAACAAGGTCCAGAAAAGGAAGACGGATAGACTTCGACATCAGGGCTCCACAATGATCTACCTGGAGGCTAACCAGGGCATCCAGGGAAATCAATGCCGAAAAGGAAGGGAGAGGCTGTCACTAGTTCAAAACCAAGCATAGCAGAGTGTCCCAGTTGTGGAGAAGGACCAGCTAGGAGTGAAGGACCAGCCAAGACTGAGAAGGAACAGCCAGGAGTGTCACAGTCACCCCTGCTGAGAAGGATAGTCAATCCCAGAGGTCAGTGGAGAAGGACAAGACAGTGCCAGAGAGGAGCAGCTTCTGTGACAGGAGAGTAGTCACAGACCCTCAGGAGAAACCCACTGAGGAGCCCCTTGGGGACCAAAGGACAGTCACTGACAAATGCTCTCCACCCCTCGAGTTTCTGGATGACTCTCTCATTTAGAAATCCGAAAGCATAAAGATAGGGAGGTGGTGATGGAGCACCCCTCTTCAGGAAGCAACTGGTCTGATCTGGAGATCTCCACGGTCAGATTCTCTCAGGAGGAACCCGTCCCACTGAAACCCTCAGCCATTCCAGAGCCTTCTTCCTTCACTACTATGTCATGTACCTGCCTCATTTTTACAGTAGTCCTTGGTGTGAGTATGTCAGCTAGTGCACCAGCAGCCCCAAGCCTGCCGGCTACCTGTCTGTGAGCAGCAGCAGCAATGACGCAGCACAGGCTGGGAGGAGCAGCCCGAGTGCCTGAGTGATTCTTCCCCCAACTCTGCAGTGAGCGCCCATAACGTCTCCAGAGATGTGGAGGCCTCAGAGGAAGGCAGCTCCCAGAATTCTCACTCATTTCACTTCTCCAGAAGCTCGGGAGGAAAAGAGGTGAAGCAAAGAAGAACATTCCAAGAGGAGATGCCTCTGTGTCCTTGTGGAGGACACACATCCAGCTCCCTGCCAAAGAGCCACTGGGAGCCAAGCCTAGAGCAGGGCTTCACTGATACCCACTGTCATTTGGATATGCTGTATTCCAAGTTGTCTTTCAAAGGGACCTTGACTAAGTTCAGAAGAATTTACAGCAGCTCCTTCTCTAAGGAATTTCAGGGTTGCATCTCTGACCTCTGCCACCCTCACCCTGACAAATTGCCTACGGGGGGAGCTGTTGAAAGAGAATCTGGTCTGGGGGGCCTTTGGCTGTCACCCTCATTTTCCATGTTACTACAATAAGAGTCAGGAAAGAAATCTTTTACAAGCCTTAAGGCACCCCACGACTGTGGCATTTGGAGAAACAGGCTTCAATTACTCCTACAAGTGCACCATGCCTGTCCCAGAACATCACAAGGTATTTAAGAGACAGCTTGAGCTGGCTGCGTCTCTAGAGAAGCTTTGGTGATCCTCTGCCAGCAAGCTGACGAGGATCTGCTGGACACCATGAGAAAATGTGTGTTCTCTGACTACAAGATACACAAGCATTGCTTCACTGCAGCTACCTGGCCATGGAACCCCTGCTGAAGTACTTTCCCAACGTCGGTGGGCCTCATGGCAGTCCTGACGTACTCCTCCACCTGAGAAGCCCGGGAAGTGCTGAGGCAGATCCCACTGGAGAGAATCATCATGGAAACGGATGCTCCCTACTTCCTCCCTAGCCGGGTTCCCAAAAGCCTTTGCCAGTATGCCCACCTGGGCCTGGCCTTGCATACAGTCCTGGAGACTGCCAGAGTCAAAGATCTAGTCTCCCACACCCTGGCCACTTTGCGTGAGAACACCAGTTGCCTCTACAGTCTTTAAGCAGAGAGGGCACAGTCATTGGGAGTCTCCCAGAAAAGGGCAACTAGCAACCTGACGTAATACAGGCTGGCCTGAAGTCTGTGTCCCAGGGGGAGGATGTGTTTGGAAGGCCGACTGGAACACAGAAAACCAGGACGGGATATTTTTCCTCAAAGCGGGTCATGAGGCTTCAGTTTCTGGGTAGTGGGTGTGGAATGAGGGGTAAGGGGACTGCCTGTAATAGCATTGGGGTTTTGCCTCCCAGCCAAAATGCTCCAAGGTAGGAGCAAAGAAGGAGTGTGACATGAGGGTACAATGAGTTTGCCAATCCAAATCCTGTTCTCTGCAGCCTGTGTTTTTGAGCAGCCTGTGACTAAAGTCACCCTCCTATTCGTCTAAAAAAAAAAGAAAAACATAGTATGGGTATACATAGGGTATAAACAGCTATATATAAGGATCAGTACTATCCAAGACCGCAGATAGTTAATGGGGGTCTGGGAACAAATCCCCCAAAAATAAGGGGTGTCTACTGTGTCACCAAGTTAGATAAACTGAAAGCTGATTCTTTTCTGGATGAGTTCACAGAACACAGTTTGATTGTAAGCCTTTTCACCTTTTTTTTTTTTTTTGAGACAAGGTCTCACTCTGTTGCCCAGGCTGGAGTGCAGTGGTGCAATCTCGGCTCATTGCAACCTGTGCCTCGCAGGCTCAAGCGATCCTCCCACCTCAGCCTCCCAGGGAGCTGGGACTACAGGCATGCGCCACCACGGCCAGCTAATTTTTGTATTTTTGGTAGAGACGGGGTGTCACCATGTTGCCCAGGCTGGTCTTGAACTCCTGAGCTCAAGTGACTTGCCTGCCTCAGCCTGTCAAAGTGCTGGGATTACAGGCGTGAGCCACTACGCCTGGCCTGGCCTTTCCACTTTTGTCAAATGCTTTTCATGACTGAAGTTTCACACATAATAGAATTACTCACGTTTGCCATATTCCTAGCGTAACAGAAGCCAACCACAATAGTCCAACAATGAAGAATTTAGGCAAATAGAAAGTTAAACACTTTCTTTCTCCCTAAAAAGAAAAAAATAAGAAGTAAGAAATAAAGAAAACCAAATTGGTAATTGTACATAACGTGATTTTTCCATTGAGTATGGGCCTGCAGACAGGCTTCCATGGATAAATTCACCTTTCTGGGCTGTCCTCAGAGTTCGGGAGGGAGGACACAGTCTGGAACCTCCCCCGGCAGTGAGGGCGGCTCCGGCTCACCTGGACACGAATCCCGTGGTACACGCACAGCCAGAAGAGCAGCAGGGCGCACAGGAACATGGACTGAAAGAGGTCATCCAGCATCCCTGGGAGCCAGCTGTTGACCAGGAAGGAGAGGGGGAAGAACGGATCTGGAACACAAAGGGCAGAAATCCATGTGGAAAACAGGCCCGCCAGCACCTGGCAGACAGCACCCCATACCTCTGCGGGGTCAGCACCTAGCAGAGAGCACCCCATACCTCTGCGGGGTCAGCACCTGGCAGACAGCACCCCATACCTGTGCGGGGTCAGCACCTAGCAGAGAGCACCCCATCCCACTGCAGGGTCTGAGCTCACTACCAGCTTTTCTCCCTGGTCAGAGCCAAAGGAAAGGTAGTGAACCAATGGCTATTTTGTTTTCCAAAACACCTAAAAGCCACTGAACAGATTGCTGCACTGATCACGACAGAGCGCCGTATGCCACTGCCATCAGCTCCTCCCGGAGCCTGGGAGTTCCGACTGCGGCAGCTCGGGAAGCAAACACTTTTGGAGCAGGAAAAGAGGAACAGCCAGCCATGTCTGGCCACCTTCAGCCAAGTTCCAGGACTGCTGTGTCTGTAGCACGTCCAAGTTTTAACTACCGAACAGCCGCCTATTTGTTAGAGAGCCAGGCATCTGCCCCAGCTCGGTGGAACATGGCTCCTGGGGTGGCAGGGAGCACACGGCTACATGTTCCTTCTGGGGCTCCCTACGGGCTCTTCTGGGCCTAGGCCATCTCCAAGATGGCTTCCAGCTTTAGTTTTGTTTTGTTTTAAGAGACAGGGTCTTGCTCTGTTATCCAGGCTGGAGTGAAGTGGTGTCATCATGACTCACTGCAGCCTCAGACTCCTGGGCTCAAGCAATCCACCCACCTCAGCCTCCCAAGCAGTTGGGACCACAGGCACGCACCACCATGCCCAGCTAAATTTTATTTTTTGTAGAGTCTTGCTATGTTACCCAGGCTGGTGTTAAACTCCTGGCTTCAAGCAGTCCTCCTGCCCCAGCCTCTCAAAGTGCTGGGATGACAGGCACAACCCTGCACCTGGCCTCCAGCTTTACATTTTAAAGGGAAAAGTTCCTAAGTAAAAATGGAACTACCCACCATTGTAAAGTAGCAGCAGAGGCAGGAGAACAGACATCCACTTCTGCTCGATGCCCCAGTCTCTCATGGAAAATTTCCGGAGGGAATGCGCAAACAGGCACTGCAAACCAAATCAGGCCTCCAGTTACTGCCTTTGCTCACACCTTGCCTGCAGCCTTTGCTCACACCTTGCCGGCATACCAGGTTGTCTTCTCTAATCAATGGTCTAGGTGCCCCACTAAGAGTCGCTGCCTTAAGCCCTGGCTGAATTGCCTACTGTGTCCTGGAGGCCATCAGTGACAACCAAGACAAGGTTGTTACTTTCTGCAGAGAAGCCACAGCTAAGACAGGTTCCGAGCTGTCCTCACAGGAGCAGGAAAGGAGAAGGAACGTAATCCCTGCAAAAGGAAAGAGGACCCACCCTCTCACCACCACGGCGAGGAAAACAAGGCCCACTTCCACTGGGCCTGCTCCAGAGAGCCAGCACTCAGACGAACCCACCCAGGACACAGGCCACATCTGTGGGTGTGACAGGAGCCTCATGTTCCCGGCAGCGCAACTGCTACAGATGGCAGCAGCTTCCAAGATGGTGCCAGGGCTTGCCCATGAAAAGCCAAGAGAATGTAGGAGTCTTGTAACAAAGGTCAGAGGATGCGTTTCTTTTCAAACACCTCCCTGAAGAAGGTGTGTTAGGCCCATGGAATAAGTTTCTTTAAACTGCTTTAAAACATTATATAACATAATTTTTAGGCCAGGGTTTTGTTGTTGATTGTTTTCGTATAATCTGATATAAGCCAACAGTTTTCTAGGCAATGTGGGTTTCCTTGCCTAGGGACCATCTTCCCTCTTTTTAAGAACATACTTGGGGCCCTGAGTAATAAATAGCTCTTTGGACTCCAGAGTGTGGCAGGAGAATCTCAGGGCATCAGAGAGCCTTTGAGAAGAAGCAAGTGTTTCTGGCTGCCCAGACACAAATAACAGCTTTCTACTTTCATTTATGAAGCTCACTGCGGGAGCCCTGAGATCCTGGAGGCCCTGGGCTGGGCGTAAGCACCACAACCTGCAGCTCCCTGTGGCTCTAGCGCCCACGCCCTTCCCTCCAGCTCCCTGTGGCTCTAGCGCCCACGCCCTTCCCTCCAGCTCCCTGTGGCTCTAGCGCCCACGCCCCTCCCTCCAGCTCCCTGTGGCTCTAGCGCCCACGCCCTTCCCTCCAGCTCCCTGTGGCTCTAGCGCCCACGCCCTTCGCTCCAGCAGAGCACCCCCTCACATGTGCACGCGCCTGTGTCCTTCCATGCACAGTTACTCTGAAAAATACCAAGTGTTCCTGGGTGGACACATTTCCTAAATGTCACCTCCCCACCATCCCGCACAAGGACAAGCAGCTGATGCAGGCAGAACGCCACACTTCGGGCGGCAACAGATCACTAAATGAAGCACACTTTCCCTTCCTCCAATTTACCAATTCTTATCTTTGCAGACTGGGGCTCTGGGGGGGCTCCCTTGGGCTTCTCAGGGTAAGCATTTCCCCCAAAGTCATGTGGGTTTGTGGACACAAACCTCAGATCCCAAACGAGCCCAATGCCTGCATTTCCAAAACACTTCTCTTTGGCCTTATTCCTGAAAATGCCCAAAAACGCAAAGGACTGGCACAACTATAAAAATATAAAATATAAAAACCCAAGAGCATGCTGCATCTGCACTCAGAGAAGCTCATTCAAGTAAGGCAGCTTCCTTCCACACAGGTGAAATGGCACTTTTCACCGCACATGATCAACATTTACTTAAAAGTCACGGACGTGCACTCTACAGAAATCCTGAATACATGATACCACATCATTTTTTCTTGCACGGCAGCATCTCGGCAGACACACAGAGTTGTAATATCAGCACAGCCCACTGGATGGAGCATCTGAGTTCAGATCAATCTCCATGTGGCTTGCACCGAAGATCCTAACTGCATAAACCAGCTTCTTCCTGGCTGGGATCTGCTGCGGTCCATCAGGCGAATGGTACTCACAGTGACGATGAAGGTGAGCACCACAAAGAAAAACCGGAACCAGATTTCCAACCGGGAGAAGGCAGGGTTATAAGTCTTCCACTAAAATAGAAAGTGGAGAAAACAATTTGAAAAAAATATATATGCATCTAAGAGAAAATACACCAGATTACTAATAGTTATCTCTAGATGAGACAATATATACACATACACACACACACACACACACACACACACTTTTTTTTTTTTTTTTTGGATATGGAGTCTCGCTCTATCGCCCAGGCCGGAGTGAAGTGGCGCAATCTTCGCTCACTGCAACCTCCGCCTCCCAGGTTCAATCACTTCTCCTACCTCAGCCTCCTGAGTAGCTGGGATTACAGGTGCCTGCCACCATGCAGGTTAAAATTTTGGAACATCCTACATGTTCCAAAATTTTAACATTTAGTACAGTTTACTTTTTTATCAAAGGACACAGACATAAAAAAATCTTAATTACCAAGAGCGAAAAATAATTTCAAATGTTGTTACATGGATAAATCCGACAAATTATTTTATAATCATAAAAGCATTCGGATCTTATATCTCACATCAAAAATCAAGCTTGTCAATCTCTTTATTAGAAATAGTCATACTTTCCATCAAAAGAAAGTTTTAAAAGATGTAAAAGTGCAACTAGAATGTTGTTACAAAGTTTAAGTAAAACCTTTAAGTATGAATGTGAAAGCAGAAGAGTGAGCTGCAGTTGAAGGAGTCCGTTCTCATGCTGACTGGACAGTCCCACGTGTGCCAAGTGTGCACTGATGGAGCCGAGGACAGGGGCACTGCTGCTGACAGCAGAGCAGAGGCTAGCCACCACCAACCTAAGCACGAGCCAGGTCCATAACCAGACCCCAGAACACTGTGCTCACAGGGCCAGAGAGCCCCATCATTCTGATGCATTGAATTAAAGTCATCTGAGCAATTTAAAAAATCCACTTCAGTACAAATAGAGTTACAGATTTACCTAAAACATCACGCACACACACACACACACGCATGCACGCATGCACAAGGATGATTTAAGACACTGGACCTGAGGAAGCAATGAAGGGTAGTAACCTCTGACTGATGGGAAACAACAAGGGGTGCCCCTGGTGGCCCCACATCATGGAGGGGAACCCAGGCAGAGCCACGGCTGGGAGTCCAGGGAGACAGGGCTGGCCCGAATCCACAGGACAGAGTGCTGGAAAGGAGAGCTGTACAGAGAGAGAACGAACCTCCCAAAAAGCCAGTGCCTGGCACCCACAAGACAGAGAAGAAACTCACCATCAAAGGGCATTGGGTAGCATATGCTGAATGCTTTTGCCTCAGCGTTAGGAAAAAATAAGCCTCAAGACTTCATGCTGCTTTGGCCCCACCTAGCAATGTTGAAAAGCAAGGCCAGAAAAGATCAAACCATTTCCAAGGAAATTAACAACGTCCCAGAACAAAGCTCAGGGATATTTATAAGATATAAAACCTAGCAATCAATAATGTCTGGCATTGAACCAAAAGTACCAGACACACCAAAAAGCAGGAAAATACAAACCATATGAGGAAAAAAACAACGAATCAAAACTGGCCCAGAAATCACAGATGACAAAATTAGCAGATAAGGAAATAAAGCAGCTAGATGAAAGATTTTTGTGTTAAATAAAGACTTGGAAGATGATCAACAGATTAGACACGACAGAGATTGGTAAATGTGAAGGCACAGCAATAGAAGCTATCTAAAATAAAACTAAAAAAAAAAAAAAAAAAACCTGAAAAAAAATCAACATAGCATCGGGAAGCTTTGGACAACTTCAAGTGGCCTAATACAGGGGTCCCCAGGCCACAGACCAATACTGGCCACGTGGCCTGTCAGCAACCGGGCCATACAGCAGCAGATGAGCAGTGGGCCAGCGAGCATTACCGCCTGAGCTCTTCAGGTCGGCCAGGGCATTAGATTCTCACAGAAGCACGAACCTGCTGTCAACTGTGCAGGCGAGGGATCTAGGCTGCACGCTCCTTACGAGAATCTAATGATAAATGAAATGCCCTTGAGTCGTCCCCAAATCATCCCCAACCAACCCTGGTCCATGGAAAAATTGTCTTCCACAAAACCAGTCCCCGATGCCAAAAAGGCTGGGGACCACTGGCCTACTGGCCTAATTTGGGGTTCCTGAATTTGGGAGGTCAGGGGACCAGAAGGACAAAAAAAGTATTTGAAGAGATAATGGCCAAAATGTTTCCGATTTGATGAAAACTATCAACTCACAAATCCAAGAAGCTCAATGGCCAAGCACAAGAAACGAGGAAAAGTACAAGAAGCACCGTGAGAGAAAAATCTTAAAAGGGGGTGGGGAGAGGGAAGAACATTATTACATTAGACGAAGATAAGGACAAAGATAAGGTGGACATCAGATTTCTTGTCAGAAAAATGCAAGCCGGAAGACAGTGACCAACATTTTCAAAGTATGTAAATTAGGCCAGGTGCAGTGGCTCACACCTGTAATCCCAACACTTTGGGAGGCTGAGGTGGGAGGCTAGTTTGAGGCCAGGAGTTTGAGGTGAGCCTGGTCAACAGAGCAAGATCCTGTCTCTACAAAAATAAAAAATAAAAAAATTAGCCAGCATGGTGGCGTGCGCCTGTATTCACAGCTACTCAGGAGGCCAGGGTCAGTGAGCCATGATCATCTCACTGCACTCTAGCCTAGGCGACAGAGCAAGGTCCCATCTCAAAAAAAAAAAAGTACATAAATTAAAACTGCAATGTAAAACCATTAAATACCATTATACACCGATTAGAACAGCCAAAATTCAAAAGACTGACCGTACCGAGCATTGACGGGATATGAAGTAACTGAAACCCTCACACGCTACTGGTGTAACATAAAGTAACACAACCACTCTGCAGAACAGTTTGTGAGTTTCTTAACCACATGGCCCAACCATTCCATTTCTAGCATTTATCCAAGAGAAATGAAAGCATATGTCCACACAAAGCTTTATACACAGATGTTCATCGCTGCTTTCTTTGTGACAGCCCCAAACTGGAAGTAATTCAAATGTCCATCAACAGGTGAATGAATAAACAATTTCTGTTACATTTATACTAGAATATCACTATGGACACACTCATCATCGATCAAGCTCAAAATAATTATGCTACGTGAAACAATTCATATTGGAGAAGTACATATTGTATAATTCCAGTTACATAAAATTCTCAAAAAAATGCAAATAACAGATCAGTGACTTCCCAGGGATGGGAAAGGACAGGAGGAAGGGGCACAAGAAGATGTTTAGGGGTGATGGCTGGTGAGGGGATGCTTATGATCTTGATTGTGGGAACGGCTTCCCAGGTTTCACTGTGTGTCAACTATACCTCAATAAAGCTGCCAAACAAAAACCAACCACTAACAATAGATGGTAATGGGCAAGTGGAGATCACAGTGATTCAGGTTCAAATTCCAGCTCCTGCCATTAATAGTTGGGCAAATGACTTAATCTCAAGAAACTTCAGATTTTCCTCCATAAAATGGGGATGCTAGTAACCTACTTCACATAATTTTTGTATCCTTTTAGCCTTGTTTTTTTTTTTTTTTTTCTGAGACAGTCTTGCTCTGCCACCCAGGCTGGGCTGCAGTGGCGGGATCTCGGCTCACTGCAACCTCCGTCTCCCAGGTTCAAGCGATTCTCCTGCCTCAGCCTCCCAAGCAGCTGGGACTACAGGTGCACGCCACCACTCTCAGCTAATTTTTGTATTTTTAGTCGAGACGGGGCTTCATCATATTGGCCAGGCTGGTCTTGAACTCCTGACCTTGTGATCCACCTGCCTCAGCCTCCCGAAGTGCTGGGATTACAGGTGTGAGCCATTGCACCTGGCCCTCTCCTGGGTTCAAGCGATTCTCCTGCTTCAGCCTCCTGAGTAGCTGGGATTACAGGCATGTGCCACCATGCCCGGCTAATTCTGATTTTTAGCAGAGACAAAGTTTCACTATGTTGGTCAGGCTGGTCCCGAACTCCTGATCTCAGGTGATCTGCCTGCCTTGGCCTCCCAAAGTGCTGGGATTACAGGCGTGAGCTACCATGCCTGGCCTATCATAGCATTTTAATGAGATGATGCGTATTAAAAACTAAGCACAATGCCCAGCAAACAGCAAAAGTTCAGTAAACAATAGTTACTACTATAAACCCAAAACATCACATAACTATTATGATTATTGCTACAGCATTTAAATTTTATAACATTATATCATTTATAGAATTATCAAAGTAACGACTTGAGCATTTGGGGGGAGTGTTGATATAAACATAATATTGAGATTAAAAACGTTTACTACGTCTTAGTCGAACAAACATACTCTAACGCACAGTCAAGAAGAGAAAAAAGAATTGCTACCATCAGAAAAAAACACAAAATACGTCTGAATTAATAGGTCTGAAAGGCTGGGTGGTTGTTTTTACTCTCAAGGAACCGTAACTCTTAAGAAAGAAAATAATCTCAGACTCCCTGGAGGAGGGGGATTCTAGCTTAAGAGTCTGTTAGAGCAACAGAAAATAATCAACTCATTCTCATTAAAAATTACCACTAGGGCCGGGTGCGGTGGCTCACACCTGTAATCTCAGCACTTTGGAAGGCTGAGGTGGGCAGATCACCTGAGGTCAGGAATTTGAGACCAGCCTGGGCAACATCGCAAAACCCCATCTCTACTAAAAATACAAAAATTAGCCGGGCGTGGTGGTGCTTGCCTGTAATCCCAGCTACTTGGGAGGCTGAGGCAGGGAGAAGTGCTTGAACCCAGGAGGTGGAGGTTGCAGTGAGCCAAGATTGCACCACTGCACTCTAGCCTGGGCGACAGAGCAAGATTCCATCTCCAAAAAAAAAAAAAAAAAAAAAAAAAAAATTAACCCTAGGCCAGGCACGGTGACTCACGCCTATAATCCCAGCACTTCGGGAGGCCGATGCGGGTGGATCGCCTGAGGTCAGGAGTTCGAGACCAGCCTGACCAACATGGAGAAACCCTGTCTCTACTAAAAACAGAGACGTGGTGGCGCATGTCTGTAATCCCAGCTACTCCTGAGGCAGGAGAAATCACCTGAACCCAGGAGGCAGCGGTTGCAGTGAGCCAAGATCGCACTGCATTCCAGCCTGGGCAACAAGAGCAAAACTCCATCTCAAAAACAAAAAATTAACACTAGAAAACAATGCTTTATTCAATAAATGTAGCTAATCTAAAACATGCATTTTAGTTCTAAAATGTGAGCTGAGAGCACGCTTTGGTCCAGCTTTCAAATGAGACCCTGCACACCAAACCTGCTATGTGGCCTGCAGGAGGCACGCGGCGCCTTCATCACACTCCATCCGGGCTTCCTTCCTCCTATCATGCGTCCCCATCCTCCTGGTTCCGGGAAAAGCCATTTCCACATGTTCTGACTCTCTGGGAGGCCGCCCCTGTCAGCAGCAGCCAAGCAGAATCACCTGCGTGCTCCTCCTGGGCCAGCCCAGCTGACAGCTCAATCTGACATGCGTTTGTGCCAAGGGCCTGAAAGGCTGAGTTTTCCCAAGCAAGCTGCAGGAAGCCCCGAGAGTAGGGCCCTGGCCCCTCCATGACACACAGCGGCCTCCAGGCGCGCTGGATCCCGTGAGCTGGGGCCAGAAGGTCCACAGGAGCAAGCCCAGCCAGTGCCTCACAGGCGTCCACAAGTAGAGGTCGTTCCGTCCCGTGGGCACTGCCAGGTCCACTGTGTGGACCCAACTCTAGGGTACTGGGTTTGGGGGTTTTGTTTGTTCTGTGTTTATTTTTAAACCCCAAAATACATTTTTGAAATTAAAATGTAAAATAAGTAAAATGAAATAAAGAGTACAGTTCCCAGAAAATACTCCGGCTTAGACATTCCTTTTGAAATCTGAAGCACTGTCATTCGGCACTCAAGCTTTTGCGTCAAGGTCCCTTTGGCATTACAAAGCTGCTGTCTTTGTCCTTTCAGAGCCGAGGCTTGCCCTGTGACACCACGAAGTTACCTTTGGAACAAGTGCCCACACCATACCCTGGGCCACTCCTCCCTGATTAAATCTCCCATGCGCCCATCCATCCATCCACATCTGCTGAGCACAACCTTGTCCTCCGTGCAGGCACAGGTGATGTCAATTCCCATGCAGCACGAAATAAGTGACTTTAACAAAAATATGACCAGTAAAAGGCCTCCAGGAGCTGACTGGCTCTTTGGCACAGAACAAACGTTTCCTCACATCCTCAGAGTCCTCTGAATGGACAACCACAGAAACAGACCGCGGGAGGGACGTGTCACAGCGACCTGTGCAGCACCAAGCAAAGGGCCTGGACTGGAGGCCCAGCTTCAGATTCACAGCCTGGGTCCCCATGTTTAAAAACAACATGAAATGGCCGGGTGCGGTGGCTCACGCCTGTAATCCCAGCACTTTGGGAGGCCGAGGCAGGCGGATCACGAGGTCAGGAGATCAAGACCACAGTGAAACCCCATCTCTACTAAAAATACAAAAAATTATCTGGGCGTGATGGCGGGCGCCTGTAGTCCCAGCTACTCGGGAAGCTGAGGCAGGAGAATGGCCTGAACCCGGGAGGCAGAGCTTGCAGTGAGCCGAGATTGTGCCACTGCACTCCAGCCTACGCAACAGAGCAAGACTCCATCTCAAAAAAAAATAAATAAATAAAATAAAAATGAAAATGAAAATAAAAAAATAAAAATAAAAAAAAAAACATGAAACGCACTGTCCAGGAATACTGGGGGGTTGGAAATGACAACGATGTAGCAAGCACAGGTCTGAGAAGCCGGGCAGCACTCAGGAAAGTACAGTAAGCACAGGTCTCAGAAGCTGGGAGACACTCAGGAAAGTATGGCCAGGCGCACTCCTCTCAGTTTCCCTGGGAAACTGCAGGGCAGCCTCAGGTAGGAGCCTGAAGGACTTGAGACGTGAGTTGCTGTTTTCATCTCACTCCCCAGTCAAAGGTCATGGCTTAGAAGAAAATGGAGGAAATGAGATGTGAACAGCTGGCCACAGAGTGTCAATCAAAACTCGGCCCGAAAAACACTTAATCAGAGGAAAAAATGCGCAGAATAACCAAGAGGACTCAGGGTGCTGAGGATGACGCATGTGACGTGCCCAGAGAAGGTGCCTGCAAAATCTCAGGAGAAAAGAACAGGAAAGTGAGTACAAGTGATTTTTGTAGTGTCAAAGGTCACTGCATATGCAGAGCATGGCTGATGAAACCAACTTTTTAAAAAACACAGGAGGTAAGCGTCATCCCACAAGTGCCAGTGAGACCTAGTGAGTGGTCTCATGGCCTGAACGTGGCAACGGGTGTGGGCACGACGTATTCCAAAGAGTAAGAGCTGATACAAGAGGGATACAGAGAAGGAGCACCACTTGCTACAGTTGGAATCTGTCCCCTCCAAATTTCATGTTTAAACTTAGCCCCCATTATGGTGGTATTGTGAGGTGGAGAATTTGGTAAAGTGATTAAGTCATAAGGACTCTGCCCCCATGAATGGATTTGCACCTTATAGAAGGGGTAGAGGGGCACGGTGCAGTGGCTCACACCTGTAATCCCAACACTTTGGGAGGCCAAGGAGGGAGGACTGCTTGAACCCAGGAGTTCAAGCCTGGGCAACACAGTGAGACCCCGTCTCTAGAAAATAAAAAATTAAAAAAATCCAAGCCAGGCATGGTGGTGTGTGCCTGTCTGGTTCCAGCTACTCAGGAGACTGAGGTGGAAGGATCGCTTGAGGCTGGGAGGTTGATACTGCACCGAGATGTGATCGTGCCACTGCACTCTAGATTGAGTGACAGAGCAAAACCCTGTCTCAAAAAAGGGGGGGCTAGCTGAGGCCTCCTTTGTCCTTCCATCCCTTCCACTGAGGGCACAGAATGTGTCCTTTCCAGAGGATACAGCAACAAGGTACCATCCTGGAAGGCAGAGAACAGCCCTCACCAGACACCAAACCTGCCAGTGCCTGGATCCTGGACTTCCCTGCCCTCCAAAACTGTAAGGAATAAATCTCTATTATTTATAAATTACCCGGTGTGTGGTGTACAGTTACAGAAGCATAGACTAAGACACCATTCTATCTACTTAAAAGATAAACATTTAAGTAGAAACAAATGAACCAAATGTTCATGGAAAATGGGGTTGAGAACAAAAGGAGAGAGAAATCAGCTTCTTGAGTTAAAGGGAGACGGCATCAACAACAGTGCCAGATGGAGGACACAGCCCACATGACAGGCTCAGGCAGGAAGGGGCCATCGACCATCTAGACATCTGCTCAGCACAGACACCTTCCACTGAAAACAGAGCCTCATCTGAACACGCTGGGTGCAGGGTGACAATTTTCTCTCAGTACATTAGGGAAGTGATACGGTTTAGCTGTGCCCCCACCCAAATCTCAACTTGAATTATATCTCCCAGAATTCCCATGTGTTGTGGGAGGGACCCGGGGGAGGTCATCGAATCATGGGGACCAGCCTTTCCCGTGCTATTCTCTTGATAGTGAATAAGTCTCACGAGACCTGATGGGTTTATCAGGGTTTCCACTTTTGCTTCTTCCTCATTTTCTCTTGCTGCTCCCATGTAAGAAGAGCCTTTCGCCTCTCGCCATGATTCTGAGACCTCCCCAGCCATGTGGAACTCTATGTCCAATTAAACCCCTTTTTCTTCCCAGTCTTGGGTACGTCTTTGTCAGCAGCATGAAAACAGACTAATACAGGAAGCAATCAGGGTCATTTTTACCCTGAATTTGATTGTCATCAACAAGGAAGAAGAGCTGGTTAGTGAAACAAACAGTGGCACCAGGGGAAGGTGTCTGTGTGATTCTGGTGCTCTTTTATCAGAGCCAAGGGCACCACCAGGCTCGGTGAAATGGAGCCCAGACTCCAGGAATGCAGAACTCAGAACTAAGATTTCCCAAGGAAATGCCAAACAAAAGCAACAGAAACCCTCAAAGGTTGATTGTGTCAGTACAGCCAGCCACACACGGCACTGCTGAAGAAGCAAGAGCTGTCTCAAGAAACGTGCGGCCGTACAGGCGGCAGCTCCAATTTATCAGGCGCACTGTATACCGTTAAGTTCCTACTGAAGGTAACGTGTATAAAGAATTGGACAGGTATTGGGCCAGGCGCAGTGGCTCACACTGGTAATCCCAGCACTTTGGGAGACTAGGCGGGCGGATCATGAGGTCAGGAGATCAAGACCATCCTGGCTAACGCAGTGAAACCCTGTCTCTACAAAAATACAAAAAATTAGCCAGGCGTGGTGGTGGGCACCTGTAGTCCCAGCTACTCGGGAGGCTGAGGCAGGAGGATGGCATGAACCCAGGAGGCGGAGCTTGCAGTGAGCCGAGATCGCGCCACTGCACTCCAGCCAGGGTGACAGAGCAAGACTCCGTCTCAAAAAAAATAAAAATAAATAAAAAGAATTGGACAAGTATCCTAAATTACAGTTCAATGAACGTCACAAATTGAACACACCTGCATAAACAGTACCTGACCAAGACACAGAACATCACCAGCACCCCAGAAGCCCCCCGCTTGATGCTCCCTTCCAGCCACTAACCTACCCCAGAGGAACACTAACCCTGATTCAACAGCACAGGTTCATTTTGCCTGTCTTTGTAATTTATATAAATGGAATCATACACTCCGTACTGTTTCGTATTTGGCTTATTTCATTCAACATTATGCTTCAGAAAGTCCTCCATGACATTACATGAAGCTATGAAGGTTCATTCTCCTCGCTATATAGTATTCCATTATATGAATATAGCAGAATTTATGCACTCATTTTGCTGCTAGTATACAGTTTACAGTTTGGCTATTAAGAATTGCGCTGCTGTGAATATCTAAATACAAGTCTTTTGGTCAATATACGTATGCATTACTGCTGTATCAATTTACACGCTCCCCAGCAGGGGGCAAGGGCTCTGCCTGCCCCACATCCTTGCCAGCTTCAGCATATTCTGTCTTATTTCTGCCATTCTGGTGGGTGTGCAGTAACACCACTAAAATACCATTAGCGTCTATCTATTCATTATAGCTTGTTTACTTCCAAAAAGAAATGAAAGCAGCTTATAATAAAAAGCCAGATTAGATAGAAATAATTTTTAAAGTGTTTTAAAAGGCAAAATAGTGAAGAAAGAATGCAGATAATTATACCAGAAATCCATACCAGGATGTTAGTAATTAGTACAATTCAGCAAAAAACTGATTTCTGAAATATCTGACAGCCAGTACCAAGAGAAAAATGCAATGCATCCCATGGCTTTCACTCTCTAAGAAAAGGCATTATAACAAATAGCCAAAGAAATTCTGTTTTTGCTTTTTGATATTTACCCAAAGAAGTTGAAAACGTAGGGGCCAGGCATGGTGGCTCATGCCTGTAATCCCAGCACTTTGAGAGGCTGGATAACCTGAGGTCAGGAGTTCGAGACCAGCCTGGCAACATGGTGAAACCTCGTCTCTACTAAAAATACAAAAAGTATCCGGGCATGGTGATGGGCATCTGTAATCCCAGCTACTCAGGAGGCTGAGGCAGGAGAATCGCTTGAACCCAGGAGGCAGAGGTTGCAGTGAGCTGAGATTGTGCCATTGCACTCAGCCTGGGCAACAAGAATGAAACTCCATTTCAAAAGAACAACAACAAAAAAGAAGTTGAGAACTTATGTCCACACAAAAACTTGTATACAGATGTTTATAGTAGCTATGTTCATAATTGTCAAAACTTAAAAACAACCAAGATGTTGTCCTTCAGCCAATGGACAAACAAGCTGCAGTACATCCAGACAATGAAATATTATTCCATGATAAAAAGAAATGAGCAATCAAGCCATAGAGAAAACTTAAAATGCATATAACTTAGTGAAATAAGTCAATCTGAAAAAATTACATACTATATGATTCCAACTAGATGACATTCTGGAAAAAGCAAAACCATGGCCTGGCACAGTGGCTCACGCATGTAATCCCAGCACTTTCGGAGGCCGAGGCAGGCGGATCACCAGAGGTCAGGAGTTCGAGACCAGCCTGGCCAACATGGTGAAACCCCGTCTCTACTAAAAATACAAAAATTAGCCACGCATAGTGGTGCGCACCTGTAATCCCAGCTACCCAGGAGGCTAAGGTATGAGAATCACTTGAACCTGGGAGGCGGAGGTTGCAGTGAGCTGAGATCTCACCACTGCACTCCAGCCTGGGCAACAGACTCTGTCTCAGAAAAAAAAAAAAAAAAAAAAAGGCAAAACCATGGAAATAGTAAAAAGACAAGTGGTTGCCAGGGGTGTGAGGAGGAGGGAGGGATGAACAGGTGAAGCACAAAGGATTTTCAGGGCACTGAAATGAACTCTACGGTACTACAAATAGTGGATCCTACAGAATGTACAACACCAAGAGGGAATTCTAATGTAAACTGTGGGCTCTGGGTGGTGTGTCAATGTGGGTTCATTAACTGTAACAAATGTACCACTTTGGTGCGAGATGCTGACAATGGGGGAGGCTGTGCATGTGTGGGCGGAGAGAGCATTTAGGAACTCTCTGTACCTTCCTCTCAATTTTGCTGTGAAACTAAAATTGCTCTAAAAAATAGTAATAATGTGGGAAAAAAAAGAATTATATTTGGAGGTTTAAAGTTCACAACACAATGTCTTCAACAGCAATTTTATAAAAGACATACAAACACTTTGCATACAGTTCTCTAATTTCTTAGTGCATCTCTCTACAAGCTGCCAGCACAATGTTGATTATGCGATTCTCCGAGGATACTGAGTCAGACCAGAAGAAACAGCATGCAGGGCTTGCCAGCACCTGAGGTTCTGGGATGGATACTGGCATATGCCCAGGACTTCCCCCTTCAAATATTAGTTGCCTCAGGAGTTTTTGTTTTGTTTTCAAATAATTTTCTTTTCAGGTAATAAAAATAATAAACATTCATTACGGGAAATAAAGGAAAACACAGAAGAAATTAAACATTAATCCCACCACCCAGAGACAGCCTTCTAGACGTCTAGTTTTCTATAATAGAAACACTTCTAATTCACGTGCTTTTCTTGTCTTAAATCAGTATATATAGTTTGTGCTAGCTATCCTATTAACTTATTATTTTAGTAGCTACAGAACTAATTTATTTAACCAGAAATCTACTGCTGAAATACAGATCGCTCCCAACTTCTTACTCTGAGGAATAGGTTTGAACATAAATCACTGTGTATGTTTCTACTTCCTGAGTATAAATTTCTAAAATTAGAATTACTAAGTCAAAAAGAACATGGAAGTAGAGGCTTTTATACATTGCTAAATTACCCCAAAAGTTAAATCAGTTCACACCCCCCCACTCATGTGTATGAGAAAACTTGTGTCCTTGCATTTCGCCAACCCTGGATATTATCTTATTTGTTGTTTTTAATATTTGCATTTTTTTTAGACAGGGTCTCACTCTGTCACCCAGGCTGGAGTGTGCAGTGGTGTGATTACAGCTCATTGCAGCCTCAAACTCCCAGGCTCAAGTGATCCTCCTGCCTAAGCCTACCTAGTAGCTGGGACTACAGGTGTGCACCACCATGCATGGCTAAGTTTTAAACTTTTGTTTAGAGATGGGGGTCTCAGCTAGGCCGATTACCTGAGTTCAGGAGTTTGAAACTAGCCTGGCCAACGTGGTAAAACCCCATCTCTACTAAATATATGAAAATTAGCAGGGCGTGGTGAACTACTACAGCTATTAGTAGCTGTAATCCCAGCTACTAGGGAGGCTAAGGCAGGAGAATTGCCTGAACCCGGGAGGCAGATGTTACAGTAAGCCGTGATCGCGCCACTGCACTCCAGCCTGGGCAACACAGTGAGACTCCGTTTCAGAAAAAAAAAAAAGATGGGGTCTCATTATGTTGTCCAGGCTGGTCTCGAACTCCTGGGCTCAAGCAATCCTACTACATTCACTTTCCAAAGTGCTGGGATTACAGGCATAAGCTACTGCCCCCGGCCCAATCTATGAAAATTGATTGGTTGAAAAAAGACATTCATTCTTGAACTCTCTAATCTTTGGTTTAAAGCAAGGATGAACATAATTTCAGAAGTCTGTTGCCACGTGAATTTCTAAATTTGTAAGGTGCTGTACTGCTGTTCTTTCATTCAACCAATACATATCTATTGCAAGCCTAGCAGCTGCTGGGCCCTATGCTGGCTGCTGGGGAAACGAAATGTACAAAAAACGCAGAAAAATCTTTGGTGACATCCCTTACAAATCCCAAGGGTCTCAAGGGCTGTCTTTCCAGATGCTGAAGAGTGCCACCAGAAATGAGGCTCTGGCTGTGGTGTAATTCAAGGTGAGTGGTTCCCATGGTAACGTCTTTTGAACCAATTCCTTTTTGAGCCCCACAGTAACACTGTATCACTTGCCTTCCATCAGCAATGGCAGAATGGCATGTACCTAGTTCACCTAACATATGTACCAAATTCTTCAGGAACAACTTTAAGAGGAAACATAGATACAAAAGATGGAAGGACAAAAACCATAAAGACAAAACAGCGGCCCACACCCATAGAACAGGGTCAGGATGAACTACAGCTTCTGGAGAAAGGTGCTGAGAACCATAAAAGGCTTGTAGGAGATGATGTTCTAATAAAGAAGATGATGAAAGGGAGAGGTCCCTTGTTTGTCTGCACTGTTGAATCAGAATGATTCTGAAATAGCAAAGTCTAAAGCACAGATGATTAACAAAGGACTACATCAAAGTATGCCTAAGCTCAGTGCACCTGCCTCAGACCCCATCTGGAATCCCCCACTGCACCATGAATGGAGGACACAAGCAGAATACTAATCGGATTCTCTGAAGACTAAGATCCAGGAGATCATTCAGACAGCAAAGACCAGACCCCAGATTCAGATCCAAAAGATCTGGAAAGGCTGGCTGAGGCAAAGGGCTGAAAGGAAGAGACCACTAGTGACGTGGCTCCCGAGAGAGCCGGCTCAGCTGTCCCAGCAGCACAGCCCAGGGCCACCTGCTCCTTCCACATCAGCAACACCTGCCCCTGCAGCTGGGTGACTGGGGCAGCTTCAGGAAGGAAACATGGAGCCAGAGGGGTGCAGAGGTCACATCCCCAGCACAACGTGAAAGAAAAGAACAATCTCAGAGGGGAGGAGACGGCCGCCTGCAAAGGGCTATAGGGTAGACAGAGAAAAAAACTCATTTTGTGTAGTTCACAACAGCCAAAAAAATGGAAACAACCCAAACGCCTGTCACCTGATGAAGGGATTAACAAAATGTGGTCTAGCAATACAACAAAATATCACTTAGCAAAATGAAGGAGTGAAGTACTGATCCCGCGACAACCTGGATGGACCTTGAGACATCACGCTAAGTGAAAGCAGACAGTCACCGAAGACCACACGTTGTGTGACTCCATTCACACGAAATGTCCAGACCAGGCAAATCCACGGGGACAGAGAGAACGTTAGTGATTGCCAAGGACTGTGGGGGAGGGAATGGGAAATGATCACTAACAGGTTTCTTTAAGGGGCAATGAAAATGTTCTGGAACAGAATGACTGGACAGCTCCACGACTGTGCTAAAAACCACTGAATGGGCCGGGCGCGGTGGCTCACGCCTGCAATCCCAGCACTTTGGGAGGCCAAGGTGGGCGGATCACCAGGTCAGGAGATCAAGACCATCCTGGCCAACATGGTGAAACTCTGTCTCTACTAAAAATACAAAAATTAGCTGGGCATGGTGGCACACACTTGTAATCCCAGCTACTTGGGAGGCTGAGGCAGGAGAATTGCTTGAACCCGGGAGGCGGAGGTTGCAGTGAGCCGAGATCGTGCCACTGCACTCCACACTCCAGCCTGGTGACAGAGTGAGTCTCTGTCTCAAAAACAAAAACAAAACAAAACAAAAAAAAACCACTGAACGTACGCTTTCATTAAAAGGGCAAGCAAACTTTCTACTTTGATAAAGCTGTTTTTTTTTTGAAGGTATCCATTAGTATCTTCATTTAATATTCACAGCTCTATGAGGCAGCTATTTTACAGATAAGAAAACTGAGGCTCAACAAAATCACGTGAGTCAATGATGGAGGCAGCGTGAGAACCCAGCTCACCGTCCAGTCTAAACCCCCACTCCTCATCACTATGCTG
This sequence comes from Homo sapiens, assembly GCF_000001405.40. Lineage (NCBI taxonomy): Eukaryota > Metazoa > Chordata > Mammalia > Primates > Hominidae > Homo > Homo sapiens. The sequence goes on along the minus strand of NC_000006.12, from coordinate 158,590,210 downwards.
GTTATACTGACTCCTAATGAGTGGAAAGGGGAGATTTCAGCTGGACACAAGAAAGGACAGTCTAACAATTAGAACAGTGCCCTCCCACTCACCGGCAGTTCGGGCAGAGACTGACGACCACTCACAGGGGCCAGAGAAGGGGGTGCTGTGTCTGCTAACCCCTTCACTGCCTTGCAGCTGAACACACTATATACTCTCTATTCTAAATCTCAGACACCTAAGGTTTGCCCAATCTCTATGATATTTAAGCTATTCTTAGTTCTATATACTTAAGAAACTGTAGTTTTCCTATAATTTTTAAAAACTTTACAAGTCCTCCACTGTCCAAATTAACATTATTTAGATGCTGAGATGTATTTCAATCATTGAACAAAGAATGGGAACTAGAACATGAGCCATGGAAACGTGCAGTCAGCTGGTATACTTACTGTGAAGTTCATTCCCTTGATGGGGAGCTTCAGGTGTTCAAATCCCACTATCACTGTATACTGAGTGTAGTTCAGGTAGCCAAGGTGAGCCACAATAATCTCCGCACATTTCTGCAAATACACAGAAAGATTTGCCTTTAAAGAAAGCGAGACTCACGCTCCCGCCAAATAACCCATGAAGTAACACGTTTCAACAGCAGATGGGCAGAACTCATTGTCTCCAGGGAACTCGCCAAAAGCCCAGAGAAAGTCAGATGCCAGCCAAACACAGTTCCTAGAAAGAATGAACCAAATGGGTATTTTTGGAAACATAATATATGATTTACACCAATTAGAATCTTTCTACTTTGGATGACTGAAAATAAGTCACCGTGTAAGAAAGTTAACAGTGCAACGCAAGCCTGACATTTCCATAAATATATAACACTAGAGCACAGGGGAAACGTAAGCTAAGACACGTCAATGCAGATGCCGCGGCCTAATTTGTCCTCCCTGGCCCAATTTTGCGATTGTTATAATAATGAACAGAGTGAATTACACATTCTTCTTTCTCTCCTTTTAACCTGTCACTCTCTACATGGAGCCCTCTTTCCTCTCCATCCTGCTCTCTCCACCCTCCACTCCGAGTCAAAGCAAAGGCTGTGTGCACAGCACCAAGTGCAGATGTGAGGATACGTGTGCTCCACTGTTGACAAGAGCCCTTCCTTTTGTCCTTTAGAATTAAAAGCCAGGTCTCTTCTGCTTTGTTATCCCCTTCCGGAGTGGCAGGGAGGACAAACCCTCATGCAGGGATACAGAGGTGCACCCACCAGCCATGCACACAGAGCCAGCCACTCCTCCCCAGCAAGCTCTGCCCCGGCCCTGCCTTTCGGAATGTCACTCTCCACCATCCTGCTGCTGCCCAGAGCAAACGGGTGGTTCTCTGGCTTTCTAATAGGGCATCGCTCCAATGACTGGTCAAGCCTCGAATGTCTGAGGTCAGGTAAGAAAACAGGTGTGGGTTTTACACAGCAGGCTTAAAAAAGACAAGAAGGTGGCTGGGCGTGGTGGCTCACGCCTGTAATCCCAGCACTTTGGGAGGCCAAGGCAGGCGGATCACTTGAGGCTAGTTCAAGACCAGCTTGGCCAACATAGTGAAACCCCATCTCCACTAAAAGTACCAAAAATCAGCCGGGTGTGGTGGCAGGCGCCTGTAATCCCAGCTACTCAGGAGGCTGAGGCAGGAGAATCCCTTGAACCTGGGAGGTGGAGGTTGCAGTGGGCCAAGATCACGCCATTGCACTCCAGCCTGGGCAACAAGAGCAAAGCTCCGTCTCAAAAACAAACAAACAAAAACAAACAAAAAGACAAGAGGGCAACTGTCAGGGAGGCGGACAAGGAGTGGGGTTAACACAGTGGGGTGCTGACCTAAGGCAAGGGGGAGAAAGCAGAGAGGAGGGGAGTGTGCAGGGGGCTGAAGGCAGCACCAAGGTCACCATCTCAACTCACCAAACACTTCAGCCCACTAGCAGCCCTGGGTCTGCACTGAAGCCCACAGTGCTCCGCAGGGAGGGGCTGCCCTGCAAAGGGGCTAAAAGCCCTCTGGCTGGCCACCCGCCCACCTCCCATTCTCCTATGCCGGAAGCACAGGTCATCTGCTATTTTCATCACATTGGAAAGGGAAGCCAAGGCTTCCTTTCCACCTGATCAGCTCTCATTGCAATCTGCTGCCTGCCCTCTGGGCTTTAAGTGTGTGGTCCACCTTCTCGACAAAACTAAATTCACCTTTCCCCTCTGGCAGTCGGGTCACAGGATGATGCGCAAAGGCAGGGGTGGCTAAGGACTATACAGGAAGGGATGGCTTAAAATCTGTAAATACATTTTTGCTGGGTAGACAAACATCTCTTGCGAGTTTAAGAATTTGTCTCACTTTTCAGGGATGTTTTAATTAACAAAAGAGCTGTATCTCAGGCTGCATATACTTACGAGTTTAAAAAAACTACACCAGCGGTTCCGGCATCCCAAGTTCAAACCACGGTTCTGCTGCTGACAATGATGTACCTCTGAAAATCACGTGATGGTACCTCAGCTTTCCCACCTGCAAGGCGTGGAAAGCCTTGCTACCTAAGTCAGACAATGGCTTTTCTTTACAGTAGAAAAAAAAAAAAAAAGGAAGCCAGGCACGGTGGTGCACACCTGTCATCCTAGCTACTTGGGAGGCTGAAGCAGGAGGATTGCTTGAGCCCAGGAGTTCAAAGCCAGCCTGGGCAACATAGCAAGACTGTGTGTTTAAAAAAAAAAAAAGTAATATAAGAGGGTGGTAAATATCTCTGTAATGTAAAAATTCCATGTTTTTTAAAGCCAGGGCAATGCTCCTTGCAGGGTTAGAGACCTGCGTAGACAAGGAACAGAAGCAAGATATTCCCAAGGGGTAACACAGTGTAAAATGAGGTAGGGCCAACAACGGAAGCGGGAAGAAACCATGAAGATGCGCTGAAGGGCCATTCTCAAGATGCACAGCACGGCGGGCACATCCAAGAAGGAACAGTGCAGACCAGCCAGTACCCTGGCAGCCTGGCCCTGCTTGAAGCAAAGGCTTTAGGTAGGGCAACCCACTTGTCCCGATTTTAAAACAAAGTCCTGTGTGCTGAGCAACCACTCAGTGCAAGCAAACCAGGACGATGGGTCTCAACAGCTCCAAATAAGCAACCCCTGACTAATGGTCCATTGAGCCTCAATCTGAGAGGTGGGTGTCATCAAGCTGTCCAGGTGGGAGTGGCCACCAGGCGCTCGGATAGGAAGAGAGCAGATTCTTGGGCCATGGTCCTGTCTGACACTCACACCTGTTATCCCTTCAGCAGTACTGATCGCACCCCTCCCGCACACAGGCCTCACTGGGGGACGCAGGGATGCCTCAGGCTGCACACATAAGGCACACTCACACGTTATTCACCTTGATCTTTACTGCTTTCCTAAGGCAGGCAGGGAAGGCTTGATCCCAACTTTATAGATGGGGAAAATACACTTTGGAAGCTGACTCATCCCCTGGAAGCAGAATGAGAGGCCAGTCCCACGTGATCCTCCCACCCTACCCTCCCAAAGTGCTGGGATTACAGGCATGAGCCACTGCGCCTAGCCCTTGAATTCTTTCTTGCTAGGAAAAACAGTGCCAGTATATGTATCACTAGTAACTAGGCAGTATCCATGGTGGTTAAGGCCACAAGCTTCAGAATAAAAGGGCACAGGTTTAAATCCTGGGCCCTCCACTTAATATCTGCGTTACCTTGGGCAATGGTTTAGACCTCTCTAAGCCTCAGTTTCTTCTTCTACAAAATAGGCTCTAACAGTAGTTTCTACTTCATGGACTTGCCATGAGGACTGAATGAGACAATGAGTGGACGGTACTTGGCATGACACCCAGCAGAGAAACTACTTGCCATCTGGCTTCTGACATTACTTTCCTAATCCTATAAGAAAATGCACTGCCCTGTTTTGATGCTCTCCAAGTTCTCCACGCTGCCAGTAACCTGTTGTGCCTGAGGTGGACTCCTCGCTCTAGCAGGGATCTGGTTCTGATTCTTTGGACTCTGAACAGAATACAGTGCCAATGAAATCAAGCGTGAGGGCTCATTCCCCACTGTGGACCCAGGTTTCCTATCCCTTAGCCACACTGTGCTCTGAAGTAGATGCTCAAAAAGGTAGGCCCCTGACGCCCAAGAGGCCCAGGTACTTGGCTTCACACAGACGGATTAGGGCATGCATCACTCGGCTGGGAACAACCCAAAGCCTCAGTCAAGAGTGACCATGGAAAATTAGTCAGCCCTGGTAGCATACGCTTGCAGTCCCAGTTACTTGGGAAGTTAAGGCAGGAGAATTGCTTGAGCCCAGGAGTTTGAGGCTGCAGTGAGCTGTGATTGTGCCACTGCACTCCAGCCTGGTTGACAGAGCAAAAACCTGTCTCTAAACAAAATAAAACAAAAAAACCCAGTGACCACAGCCTGTGGCAGACGTTCGTATGAGGAGGCAGCCCATAACATTCATTAGGGACACACTGGGCAGAAGGTCACACACACAGTAAAAACAAGTACCGTGTATGCTCAGGGTGGCTAGCAGTATATGTGTGTGCATGCATATGTGCGTACACGTGTGTTTACGGATGTGTGAATGCATGTGTACGTTTATAAGAATTTTTAAGGGTATCCAACTGTAAAAATAAGTAAGTTTTTTCATGCCATCTTTGGTATGACTCCATTTTTTTCACTTAAGAACAATTTCTCGAAGCCTCTTACCATGCTATCTTTTAGACTGGAAAGTGGCTCTGTAATTAAACGTGTACACAGCCTGAGGACTGACTGTGGGGCTCACCCCACACACTCACCCCTGCACATGTGAGGGTCCTTGTCCGGTTGTGAACTTTGTTATGAATGTACATCGTGGTTCCATCTTGAGCTACACCATCGACTTTAACAGTCATGGGAAAGCTTGTCTTAATAGAAGTTTCTACAAAAGAAAAAAATTCAGTGTTAGAGACCATGCCAGGCACATCACACCTACAAAGGTGCCTTCCTGGCTCTGTAATGACCTTGGAGCCAGGAAAACGCTTAAGGTCCTTAGGCCACATTGGCCTCAGCACATTTGAAAATCTCTTAATTGCCCAGCAAAGTAAAAGCCTTTCCATTAGATTCCAACCCAGCACCCAGGGGGTCTATGTCAAAACCTGCACTTCAGACCCATCAGTTTCACTTCACACACAAAAAAAGGGTAAATATTTCATGGCTAATGAACTTATATTTTTAATTTCTCACATACATTTTTAACTTACCAAATTCTATACCAAAAATAGAAATAGATTTCTTATTTCTTCTGATTATAGGTTTTTCTCATTATATTCTCATTTTAAAAAAATCATAAAATATAAAGATAGCATTAAATACTGAGAATTTCACCTAGAGATAATCGTAATTCATATTTCATGTCTATCCTTCCAGACCATTTTCTAGACAAATACGTAGTAATATGAATTTTTTGCTTTCTAAAATGTTACAAAGAGGGGATAATTTTTTCGTAATATATATTTGTTTCACTTCATTTACTGTGGTCATGGGGTTATCTTTTCAAATTCTTTCTCAACCAGAGTGTCTCATGTGAGGCACAGAACAGAAAAGGATTTGGTTATCTTCTCAATTCTCCCTAGGATGATACAAAACTAGTGCCACTGTAGACTGACAGAAGCTAATTCATCATAAACAATGGATGCATTAGGGGAGGGTTTCTCAGCCTCTGCATCACTGACATTTTGGGCCAGATAATTCCTTGTTGTGAAAGTGGGGGAGGTGTCGGCACCTCTGCCCTCTACCCACTAGATGCCTGGAGCACTCCCTCCTCCTCTCCGTGTGTGACGAAATTGTCTCAAGACATTGGCAAGTGTCCCTGGGGGCCAGAACCATTATTTTAGGGCATCAGGTCTTAATTCTCTCCCAGATCCTCACTGAAAAAGGCTGGCAGCTGTAGCGCCGACACCATGCAGCCACTGAGCGGAGCTAACCAGGACTCCACGGAGGACGTCTATCTATCGCAACTTTCTCTCCCACTGGAAGACATTTAAGGGGTTTCCAATTTGTTGCTATGATAAATAATAATGGACATCCTTATACATCTATCTTTGAGCACTTGCTTGTCTGAATATTCTGAAGTCAACATCTAAAATACGATGTTTCTTCGTATAATGAAAAATCATTCCAAAATGTCAAGCTCCATACCTTTTGATTGATCCAACTCAACAACACATGTCAGCCATAGTTGCTGATTGTATGTAGACAGTGGATTTGAAAGTATTTGAATTGGCTTTAGCTGAAGAAAAAAAAACAAAGTAATCCATGTGACCTTTTCATTGAGTCTACCAAATACCTCATCGTTTTAACACACAAAGTTTACTTTTAGCAATAAAGGCTTCAGTGTTAGCTTTGAAACAGAAATATGTGAGGTTTTCCTTCTTTTTTTTATTTTGATGGAGTCTCACTCTGTCGCCTAGGCTAGAGTGCAGTGGCGCGATCTCGGCTCACTACAAGCTCTGCCTCCTGGGTTCACGCCATTCTCCTGCCTCAGCCTCCCGAGTAGCTGGGACTACAGGCGCCCGCCACCACGTCCAGCTAATTTTTTGTATTTCTAGTACAGACGGAGTTTCACCGTGTTAGCCAGGATGGTCTCGATCTCCTGACCTGGTGATCCGCCCACCTCGGCCTCCTAAAGCGCTAGGTTACAGGCATTAGCCACTGCGCCCGGCCATGAGGTTTTCCTTTCAAGAACATAAGTGACATTTTGCCTTTCAGAAGAAGAAACGACTAACTTCCAGCAGCAATTCACGTCTGTCTCTCACAGAAATCTCTAAGCAGACATTTTTCACACTGGGACCCTTGGGGACAATACACTTACTTAAATATCAAGAAAAAAACCATCTTGGAAAAAGAATAAAATGAGCAGAATGATGAGATACATACTAAGACAATAAAGAATACCAAAGGAATGCTTTCATATTTACAAGATAATATATCTCAAGAATTATTATTTTTTGAGACGGGAGTCTAGCTCTGTCACCCAGGCTGGAGAGCAGGGGCGTGATCTCGGCTCACTGCAACCTCTGCCTCCCAGGTTCAAGTGATTCTCCTGCCTCAGCCTCCCAAATAGCTGGGATTACAGGCACCTGCCACCACACCCAGCTAATTTTTCTATTTCTAGTAGAGATGGAGTTTCACCGTGTTGGCCAGACTGGTCTTGAAGTCCTGATCTCATGATCAGCCCACCTCGGCCTCCCAAAGTGCTGGGATTACAAGCATGAGCCACTGCGCCCGGCCAAGAATTATTTCTGAAGTATCCATATGCCAGGCAAATTGCTCTTTGACGTCTGCTATTTTTAGCCTTCTGAAAGAAAATCTTAACACCCCTGGGGAGAAAAATTAGAGGTGATGATGTTGCCAGTGATTCTTCTGCAGTATCTTTTGAAAGACGTAATACTGGTGTTTAATAGCAGCAGGCCACAGAGAGAGTTACTGAAGCAGCCCACCCATGGTTCCAAAGAAAAGCATTATCTGAATGCATCGTCTTTGGAGGTGAATGGGTTTTTTCTTTTTTTTTCTTTTTTAAGACAGGGTCGTGCTCTGTCACCCAGGGCTGGAGTGTAGTGGTGCAATCATGGCTTACCGCAGCATCAACCTCTCAGGATCAAGAGATCCTCCCACCTCAGCCTCCCAAGTAGCTGGGACTACAGGTATGCCCCACCACACCCAGCTTATTTTTAAATTTGTTGTAGAGACACAGTCTCCCTATGCTGCCCAGGCTAGTCTCAAGTGAATGTGTTTTTGTGTCTTAATACTTCTGTCAGGGTCTCAATAAAACTCCCTAGGACTAAAGATTTGCCTAAAAACCATCAAGGCAGGAAATCTCTCCAGGAATGAGCTACTGTCTTAGTGAAGTGAGGATGGTCTCTTGGAAGCAAGTCAGTTCAGTGGAATGGCTGCTGTGTTCAGTGTCAAAGAGAGACTCACACCCTGAGAGACAGAAACTGTAAAAGATGAACTACTATCAGGAAAGCCCACGGCGGCACCTCCTCAAATCAGATCATCACGCCAACAGTGAAAGAAAATAAAGCAATGCAAAGGAAATGTGAAAACAGGCTATGCAGAGGGCCCTTTCAAACTAGCAGTAGCAAAGAGAAAAATCAAATGGTGTAAGTTTTAGTACTTTTTCTTCTTTTGACTTTTTGCAAAATTATAAGGGTAGAAAACTAGCAGGGAAGTGTGAGAACAGAGAGAAGGGGGATTTGGGGTCATACAATCAGATTTAAACTATATATATCATGGTGCCTCGAAGATACAGGGCAACTGTGTTCAGTTTATAGGTAAAGTTATGTTTCACACACAAAAAAAGGTTTAGTTGTCTGGGCTCTCACAGGTTAGTATTTATTCAAGGAAACCAAAATTCTCCAATTGAAAGAAGCTCTGTTTTTCTCTAAAGGTGGTAAAAAAGTTAAGGCTTTTTTTTTTTTTTTTTTTTTGAGACAGAGTCTCACTCTGTCACCCAGGCTGGATGCATTGGCACGATCTTGGCTGACGGCAAGCTCCCCCGCCCGGGTTCACACCATTCTCCTGCTTCAGCCTCCCGAGTAGCTGGGACTACAGGCGCCCCCCCACCACGCCCAGCTAATTTTTTTGTATTTTCAGTAGAGATGGGGTTTCACCATGTTAGCCAGGATGGTCTCAATCTCTTGACCTCGTGATCAGCTCACCTCAGCTTCCCAAAGTGCTGGGATTACAGGCATGAGCCACCTCACCTGGCCAAGTTAAGGTGTATTTTTTAAAGGATTTTTCATTTAAATTGAGTTCACACAAGGAATACAAAGTAATCATTAGAAAGAAATGTACCATTAGAAATCTGACAGAGGCCAATTCTTAACCTGGGCAAATATAAGATGAGACACCTAAGTGGTATCATTATTAAAAATTACAATCTGATAGGACTTACAGAGGCAAGGAATCAGGATGAGTTAGCCACTCTTTGGAAATGAACAACTGCTCCCTAAGAGGTAACACCACCATCTTCCTAAGTACTGAGGTGTTTATTACAGCAGAAATGGTGACTTTAGCAAACAAGAACCCAGATGCCAGCAGCTGACAATGGAAGAAGAAATGTGTTGCCTGAGAAGCCGCAAGGCAAGGGAAGGCTACCTTAAAGACTCTAAGCGGAACCATTTCTCAGTGACCTGAGGTTTATAATGCACCCCACCACCCAGCTGCCACTCAGACCCAGTCTTACCTTTTTGCTATTATTTAGTGAAAAATTAGCCGCAGAAGTCTGGATCACTTTAGGTCCTAAAGTGTAACAGAAAAGGACAAAAGCAGATTATAGCAATATTGATAATTTAGTATTTTTTTCCAAATTCCAAGAAAGACTCACACATTACACGGAGATGACCTTAATTCACCTGGTTTTTCTTTAGAGATTATACAATGTGTAAGTAGAAGATATAAACACACAAACACAGACACAGAATATCCACTCTGCTGTGCTTCACGACTTCCCAACACAAGTCAACCAGCATGACTGGCATACAACACAGAGGGTTTCCACAGGAAACACCCTGCTAGGCTCTCAATGAGAGCACTCTCTACATGCATGGGCCCAAGAAGGCATTAACTATAGAGACTCTGTCTTATATATTCTGTAAAATATAAAGATTTCTTCCAAAACCTAAGACACACTTATCTGCTCATCCAATTAATCCCGTCTTCCAAAAATACTTATTAAGGGCTATAAACATAATATATGCTAATATAAGCAGGAAAGCATAAAGTTTTAACTAATAGGTATACGAACCTCATAGTTTTTTTTCCAATTTTTACTGTGACAAAATATACATAAGATTTGCCATCTTAACCATTTTTTTTCCTACAGATCCAAGAACTTGACATCTTAACTATTTTTTTTCTTTTTGTTCTTGTTGCCCAGGCTGGAGTGCAATAGCGCAGTCTCAGCTCACCACCACCTCCACCTCCCAGGTTCAAGCACTTCTCCTGCCTCAGCCTCCCGAGTAACTGGGATTACAGGCATGCGCCACCACGCCCGGCTAATTTTTTATTTTTAGTAGAGACAGGGTTTCACCATGTTGGTCAGGCTGGTCTCGAACTCCTGACCTCAGGAGATCCGCCCACCTCAGCCTCCCAAAGTGCCGGGATTACAGGCGTGAGCCACTGCGCCATGCCCGTCTTAACCATTTTTAAGCATACAGTTCAGTGGTAGTAAATACGTTCATACTGTGCAACCATCACTGCCATCCATCTCCACAATTCAAAACTGAAACACTGTGCCTATCAAACAATTCCCCATTCCCTTCCCCCAGCCCCTGGCTGCCACCACTCTACTTTCTGTCTTGATGATTTTAACTACTCTAAGTACCCCATATAAGTGAATCTTATAGTATTTATCTTTTTTCCAATGGCTTATTTTACTTAGTATAATGTCCTCAAAATTCATCCATATTATAGCTTCTGTATGAATTTCCTTATTTTTGTTTTTTGTTTGTTTGTTTTTTGAGACAGCGTTTCACTCTTGTTGCCCAGGCTGGACTGCAATGGCAGGATCTCGGCTCACTGCAACCTCTGCCTCCCAGGTTCAAGCGATTCTCCTGCCTCAGCCTCCCAAGTAGCTGGGATTACAGGTGCTTACCACCATGCTCGGCTAATTTTTGCATTTTAGTAGAGATGGGGTTTCATCATGTTGGCCAGGCTGGTCTTGAACTCCTGACCTTGTGATCCACACACCTCTCCCTCCCAAAGTGCTGGGATTACAGGCGTGAGCCACTGCGCCCGGCCGAACTTCCTTACTTTTTAAGGCTAAATATTCCATTGTATGTGTACACCACATTTCATTCCTCTGTCCATTTATCTGTCAATGGATACTGTGGTTGATTCCACAGTTTGTTATTGTGAATAATGCTGCTATGAACATGGGTGTACAAATATCAAGACCCTGCTTTTTTTTTTTTTAATTTTGAGACGGAGTTTCATTGTTGTTGCCCAGGCTGGAGTACAATAGCGTGATCTCGGCTCACTGCAACCTCCGCCTCCTGGGTTCAAGTGTTTCTCCTGCCTCAGCCTCCCAAGTAGCTGGGATTACAGGCATGCACCACCACACCTCGCTAATTTTTGTATTTTTAGTAGAGACGGGGTTTCACCATGTTGGTTAGGCTGGAATCGAACTTCTAACCTCAGGTGATTCACCCGCCTCAGCCTCCCAAAGTGCTGGGATTACAGGCATGAGCCACCATGCCCGGCCAAGACCCTGCTTTCAAATCTCTTGAGTATATACACGGAAGTGAAATTGCTGGATCATGTGGTGCTATTTGCATGGCATAACCTTTTCCATCCTTCTACTTCAACCTATTTGTGTCTTTGGATCTAGAGTGAGTCTCCTGTAGACAGTATATAGTTGGAGTATGGTGTTTTAAAATCCATTCTGCCAACCTCTGCTTTTTAATTGGAGAGTTTATTTACATTTATAGTAATTACTGCTCAGGAGAAACTTGCTTCTGTCATTTTGCTTTCTATATGCCTTCGTTCTCTGTATGTCTCATAGCCTTTTTGTACCTCTTTTAATATCCTAAAGTTATAACACTCTAAATTTATACCAGCTTAACATCAATATGTAAAAATTCTGCACCTATAACAGCTCCATCCCCGCCTCTTTCAACTGCTGTCACAATTGTGACAAAAGCCTATCTTTATATATTGTGTCCAAAAACATAAAATAAGTTTTAATGCATTAGTCTCTTAAACTATGTAGAAAACAAAATGTGGAGTTACAAACCAAAGTTATAATAATACTAGATTTTACAGTAATAGTTGGCTTTTTAAAAATGTGTCTTTCAAATAACGTTGAAAACAAAAAAAATGGAGTTATACACCATTGTTACAATAATATGAGCTTTTATAATTACCCAAGTATTTACCTTTACTGAAATCATATGGCTTCAAGTTACTGTCTAGTGTCCTTTCATTTCAACCTGCAGGACTCACTTCAGCAATACTTGCAGGGCAGGTCTAATAGTAATAACTTCCTCAAATTTTATCTGGGAATGTCTTAACTTCTCCCTCAGTTTTGCTACACGTAGGATTCTTGACTGACAGTTTTGTTTTGTTCTTTGTTTTTTTGTCTTTTTTTTGAGATGGAGTTTCGCTCTTGTTGCCCAGGCTGGAGTGCAATGGCGCGATCTCAGCTCACCACAACCTCCACCTCCCGGGTTCAAGAGATTCTCCTGCCTCAGCCTCCCAAGTAGCTAGGATTACAGGCATGTGCCACCACGCCTGGCTAATTTTGTATTTTTAGTAGAAATGGGGTTTCTCCACCTTGGTCAGGCTGGTCTTGAACTCCCGACCTCAGGTGATCCACCCGCCTCAGCCTCCCAAAGTACTGGGATTACAGGGGTGAGCCACTGCACCCGGCCAACAGTTTTCTTTTAGAACTTTGAATGTATCAGCCCACTGACTTCTGGTCTCCAAAGTTTCTGATGAGGTATCTGCTGACAAACTTACTGAGGATCCCTTGTATGTGATGAGTCACTCTCTTACTGCTTTCAAGATTCTGTCTTTGGCTTTCTACAGTTTGATTATATCTTGGTGTGGGTCTCTTTCAGTTCATCCTACTTTGAGTTTGTTGAGCTTCTTGGATGTTTATATTCACATTCACCAAATATGGGAAGTTTTCAGTCATCACCGCTTGAAATATTCTCTGACCCATTCTCTATCTCTTCTCCTTCTCAGACTCCCAGAGTGTGTATGTTGGTCCATTTGATAGTGTCCCAAAGGTCCCTCAGTCTCTGTTCATTTTTCTTCTGTTTTTCTGTTCCTCAGGCTCAAAAATTTCCACTGTCCTATCTTCAGATTCACTGATTCTTTCCTCTACCTGTTCAAATCTGCCTTTGAATCACTCTAGCGTACTTTTCATCTCCAGAATTTCTTTTTGGTTTCCTTTTAGGTTTTCTATCTTTTTATTCATACATTGTTTTCTTGACTGTCTCCATGTCTCTTCCTTTAGTTGCCTCAGCACCTTTAAGACAGCTGTTTTAAAGTCTCTGCCTAACAGATCTGTCATATGGTCTTACTCAGAGACAGATTCTGACACTTCATTTTTTTCCCTTCGATGGGTCATACTTCATTGTTTGCCTTGTGACTTTTTTTTTTTTTTTTTTTTTGAGATGGAGTCTTGCTCTATTGCCCAGGCTGGAGTGCAGTGGCGCAATCTCGGCTCACTGCAAGCTCTACCTCCCGGGTTCACACCATTCTCCTGCCTCAGCCTCCCAAGTAGCTGGGGCTACAGGTGCCCACCACCATGCCTGGCTAATTTTTTGTATTTTTAGCAGAGATGGGGTTTCACCATGTTAGCCAGGATGGTCTCGATCTCCTGACGTCGTGATCCACCCACCTCGGCCTCCCAAAGTGCTGGGATTACAGGCATGAGCCACCACGCCCGGCCGCCTTGTGACCTTTTGTTTAAAAGTGGACACTTAAATCTAATAATGTACCTCTGGAAACCAGACTCTCCCCTTCCTCAGAGTTTGCTGTTATTCATTTTTGAATTTTTGTTTTTGTTGTTGTTATAGACTGTCTCTGTGCAAAGGATCAGCCTGAGGTTTAAACTTAAGGTTTTCTCTGAGCCTGTGCCTTCCTCTGGGCAGGTGTGGTGACTTTCTAAATTTCCCTGTATTAGCAGTTTTGAATGTCCTGGTCTTCTATGTCTGACTCCCGAGAAAGGAAAAAGGCAAAAACGAAGGGGTAAAAAAGTGCCAGCCCTTTAAATCCCCTGGAAGTAACGTTAGCCAGCGGGGGAGGGGCTTGCAACAATTGAGGGAGGTACAACAACAGCAGCCATTCTTACTTCGTCAAACTTCTGCAATCAGAAGCAGCATCAGTGATCAGAGCACAGATGCCTACTATCTGGAGGACAGGGTCCTTTTTGCCCACCTTGGTTTCTATAAGCGCTAGGAACACACATTTAGCCGCCTGCTATAGGCCTGCAGTGGAAGATGGGTACCTGCTACTGTGCTAAGAGCTGTGCTGACCAAAATTAGCCACCATCTAATGTACAAGCATTCCCTTCGAAGTGGCAAGCCTTCAACAGACTCTGGAGTTCCAGAACAGTTACACCATACAGATTCTGCCACTGCAGCTGTTGGCTAAGTAGAAGACATCGATTCCTACTCCACCATCTTCCCAGAATCCTCTCCAAGCTTCACAGATTCTTACAATGCATTTCTTTAGAGTTTGGCCTTAAAAGAAGTAGTCAAAGGAAACACCGTGAATCTGATTTTAATTTAATTTAGAACTAGATTTGTTCCAAAACGTATCACTATCAACTGGTGATATCAGTTTTTCTGGGCTGCCTCAGTGACCATGCCCAGAAGGATTGTCTGCCAACAATCCTCCACTCAAAAGGAGGAAATACAAGGCAGTAACATTTCTCTGGAATGCATTTAGGAATGCTGGGAAGCATATATCAAATGTAGGAAAGAGGCCTGTGTCCACAATGAGGTCCCTTTTAAACAGATTCACAATCTGAGTGAACACCTAACCCAGGAAGTAAGGCAGTCTAGTTTCCTGGAAAGAATTAAGAACTGGGAATCAGAAAAATCTAGACTTGGCTGGCTGCGGTGACTCACACCTGTAATCCCAGCACTTTGGGAGGTCGAGGCAGGCGGATCATCTGAGGTCAGGAGTTCGAGACCAGCCTGGCCAACATGGTGAAACCCTGTCTCTACTAAAAATACCAACAAAAATTAGCCAGGCGTGGAGGCAGGTGCCTCTAATCCCAGCTACTGGAGAATCATTTGAACTGGGGAGGAAGAGGTTGCAGTGAGCCAAGATTGCACCACTGCACTCTAGCCTGGGCAAAAAAAAAAGAAGAATCTGGACTCCAGTCTTCACTAACAAGGCTTTCTGGGTCTTGATTTCCTCATTTGCAAAATGACAGTTACTAAGCCAATAGTCCCTAAGGTACTCCTAACTCTAAAATAGTAATAACCTTATCACATAAAATAATCAGGAGCAGAGTACTTGTGATAATTTTATGTGTCAACATGACTGGGCCACAGGGTGCTGAGACATTTGGTTAAACATTATTCTATTGTGTCTGTGGGTCGTTTCTGGATGAGATTAACATGTGAATCGGTAGACTGAGTCAAGCAGATTGCTCTCTCCAATGTGGGTGGACCTCATCCAATCCATTGAATAAAACAAATTGGCTGAGTAAGGGGGAATTTGCTCTGTGTCCAGCTGGGACACTGGTCTCCTGCTTTCAGACTCGGACCTGGACTCAGCTGGAAATTTACTCCATCAGCTCTCCTAGTTCTCATGCCTTTGGGCTTGGACTGGAACTACACCATGGGCTCTCCTGGCCTCTTACTTGCTGACTGCAGACCTTTGGACTTCTCAGCTTCCATAATCATGTACCAATTCCTTATAATAGACAGACAGGCAGGACAGACAGACAGACAGGATAGACAGGCAGGCAGGCAGGCAGATAGGTAGATATTTCGTATTGATTCTGTTTCTCTGGACAACTCTGACTAATAGAGTACTGTATGGAAAGAAAGAAGGGGATGTAGAAATCCTGAACATCACTTGTATCTCAGCCTTGGTGCACACTTTACATTTCTCATTTCTGCAAGAATGGAGAGGGTTTGATATAATCATGGACGTTTGAGACAGAAGAGTGGCTTAAAATAACAGAAGGTGGCTGAGGTCCCACTGAGACTGGAGACCATGAGAATATTAATGCCTCCCCTACCAATCTTAAAGGATAGCAGTGAAAATCAAGTAAGATCATGGATATATCTTGTGCTGTAATTAATGTAATTTTTATTTCTTGATGACTTAACGGGAAAGAAAAGAAGTTGGCTACAGCTGCTATTATCACCATCACCATCAGATAAACAGCACTCTCCCCCAGCTTCCTCGTCCATTTACCAACCCAGTTTTGGGTAAGAAACTAACCTTTTGAGGCACAAATTGCCTCTGGGACAGGTTAAGCCTAACTGCCATTCACACTTTAGTATTAAGTCAATCAATTAAATAATATCTACCAGAAATCACCCTTATGGAAAAAGATATTTTATTTAAGAGGGAAACAAAGCAATGGAGGAACAGATTCTCTCCAAACAAGTCAGGCTCCTGGTTGCCTGCCCTCTGCACGGGGCTGAAGACACCTGGGTCTCTGGGAACCTTGTGAAAACCACTTGGCTTCTCAGGTTCTCCATCCATGAGAAAGGGGATTGGCCTAGATGATCCCACTGCTCCTACAGCCACCCCGCCCCATGCTCACAGCCATCAGCCCCCCACTCTCCTCCCCTCCCCATCAGCTGCATCAGAGCTCTTCCATGGCCTGTCTCCCCAACCAGGCAGCATGTTCTGGACACACCAGCGCCCAGCTGGGTCTCGTGCACAGCAGATTAGAAACGTTTGCTTGGCCAATGAAGGCATGTGGTCAAGGCTGCCCCTGGCTGCTGCACAGGGCATGGCCAGGGTCACTCGGGGCTACTTACTGCACACCTCCCCCACAAGAGACAGAGCAGCTAGAAGCGCAGGGCTGGGACCCCATCCACCCTGTGGACACTTCTCCCTCCACGCTGGGGCCCTTAGCAGTGGAAGATAGGGGCACAGCTGGGCTGACCGAAAGCAATACGCCAGGGCCACCGCGCATGGCAAAAGATTCAATGAGTAAAAACCGAACCTTACCTCTGATCCCAACGAAGATGGTCAGGCCAAAGCAGATGAAGAAGACGACAAACACGAGGACAAAGTGGCGCTTGGAGAGCGTGTAGAGCCGCATGGGCGCCAGCCTGGGGGCAGAAGCCAGCAGTGAGGGACGGTCAGGGGAAGGCCCGGAGGTCACAGGAAAGCGGCCCTGCAGCAACACCCCTCCCCACACGACACTGCCCACCTCCCCTCCCAGTCCCTCACTTCTGAAGTGGGCCTGCACTGCCACCAGGTAACCTCCTGACAAAACAGCCTCAGCAGCCAATTCAGGAGCTGCGCGTTCCTGCACGTTCCGGGTTAGAGGGTCCGTGGACACACCAGCCACCGCGGTCTGCACGCAGCACACCAACCCCACACTCGAGGAGAATGCACTAGGGGGGCTCCTAGGCCCCCCAGGGGTCACTGCCACAGAGGCAGTGGCCAGATCCCACTACTCATCTCATGCACACACATACATACACACACGCACACACACTGGCACACCCACAAGCACACGGCCTATGGGGGTGACACTGCCAGGCCCCACTCGAAGCTCCAGGTACTGCCAGCACCACACTCCTCCCTCTGCCATTCCCACAAGCCCACAACCTCACAACCTCACAACCCACAAGCCCACAAGCCCACTCCTCCCTCTGCCATTCCCACAAGCCCACATCCCAAGTCCTCCACAACTTCAGGTTCCCCTTGTGCCACCCAACACGGACGCTGCCTTGCCGTGCAGGTTTCTGTGATTTACACAGACAGGGAAACTCACTCGCCCTCCCAGGTGTCTGCCCAGTCACAGGAAAACTCTAGGAGGCAGGGATCATTTCTTTTAGAACATCCTGTATCAAGGGCCAGCAAACAAAAGAAAACTCTGTAAAGGCCCAGGTAGTACATGTGAGGCTTTGGGAACACCGGTCTCTGTCGCAAGGCACAGCTCTACTTCTCTGAGCAGCACAGGACGCACGAGCATGGCTGTGTCCCAGTCAAACCATCGACAAAAGGGGTGTGGCCGGCCCCCGCCCTGTGCCCTGAGGAGGAGACCCACAGACCAGAGGGACGTGCGGCGCTGTCTGTTTTGCTCTCTCTTCTGTGTTCTCTGTTGTCCTCGCATGTTCTGGTCTTGGGAGCCAGACCAGCGGGAAGGAGACCGAGCACCTCACCTCAGGGACAGGCAGCCGCACGTCCACCCAGGGAGATGGACATAGTATGCTCAGCCTGGCCCTGCAGGAAGGTTACTGGCTTCACGGTCCAAAGCTCACACGGGCCTGCGTGCCCACATCCCCGCAGCACACGCCTGAGAGACTGCAGTTGCAGAGCAGGAAGTCACTGCCAGGCCCGTCCCAGGGCCAGGGTGAGGCCGTGAGTCAACACCTCTGCGACGTAGCTCTGATAAGGCCAGGCCCGCTGCCCCCAGCAGGGCCTGCATGGCCACCTGGGCAGTGAGCACACAGACCAGGGTCACTGGGTGAAGAAATAAAGAATAGGTGGCTCCACAGCTGCCCCGGGACTCAGTGCAAACACTCACCCACAAACATGAGACAAGAGAGCTGGGGAAGGAGGTGGCCTGGCCCCAACTCAGCTCTGGGGCCTGACAGATCCTCAGAGGCCCAGGAGCCATAGGAATGACCTCAGGGAGCAAACTCAACACCTTCAATTCACAGGTGGGGAAAGTGAGGTCTGGAGAGAGTGCATGTGCCCAAGATGCTGCAGCCCTGCCCTCTGCACCTGCACTGCACAGAGGTTGCTCTGGGACGGCGCTGCAGGCTCCAACCTACACCAACTCCTCTGGGCAAGCCCTGCAAAGTGTGAAGGCTGGCCCAGGAAGAAGTGTCTCCTCTGACCTTCCGCAGTTAACCCAGGTGTCAAGTCTATTCCTTAGTTTAAGCATGGTGTGTTTAATACGTTATTAACACTGCAGATGGCCGGGCGCGGTGGCTCATGCCTATAATCCCAGCACTTTGGGAGGCCAAGGCGGGCGGATCACGAGGTCAGGAGATTGAGACCATCCTGGCCAACACGATGAAACCCCGTCTCTACTAAAAATACAAAAATTAGCAGCCAGGCGTGGTGGCTCAGGCCTGTAATCTCAGCACTTTGGGAGGCCAAGGCGGGCAGATCACAAGGCCAAGGCGGGCAGATCACGCCTATAATCCCAGCACTTTGGGAGGCCAAGGTGGGCGGATCACAAGGTCAGGAGATCGAGACCATCCTGCTAACACGGTGAAACCCCGTCTTTACTAAAAAACACAAAAAATTAGCCGGGCGCGGTGGCGGGTGCCTGCAGTCCCAGCTACTTGGGAGGCTGAGGCGGGAGAATGGCACGAACCCGGGAGGCGGAGCTTGCAGTGAGCCAAGATGGCACCACTGCACTTCAGCCTGGGCAACAGAACGAGACTCCATCTCAAAAAAATTAATTAATTAATTAATTTTTTAAAAAATTAGCTGGGTGTGGTGGCACATGCCTGTAATCTCAGCTGTTCAGGAGGCTGAAGCAGGAGAATCGCTTGAACCAGGGAGTTGGAGGTTGCAGTGAGCCGAGATCACACCACTGCACTCCAGCCAGGTGACAGAGCGAGACTCCATCTCAAAAAAAAAAACCAACCTAACAAACAAACAAAATACTGCAGAATGGAAGATTCCTACAGCTGCTCAGGGCCTTTTCAGTTAAAAAAAAAATGACACAAAGCTAAATGGACTAGATGGTGGGGAAATGCAAATAAAGCCTTTAGTTCAGTTAACAGTACTGCACCAAGGTCAACGTCTTCATTTTGATAAATGCGCCAGGTTATGTGAAGTGCCCCCCTGAGGGGAAGCCACAGGGCTTGCCCAGAGGAGTTGGTGTAGGTTGGAGCCTGCAGCGCTGTCTCAGAGCTACCTCTGCAGAGTGTGGGTGCAGAGGGCAGGGCTGCAGCATCTTGGGCACGTATACTGACTCCAGACCTGTTTCCCCACCTGTGAATTGAAGAAGAGTGTACGGGGCCGGGCGCAGTGGCTCATGCCTGTAATCCCAGCACTTTGGGAGGCCAAGGCGGGCGGATCACGAGGTCAGGAGATCGAGACCATCCTGGCTGACACGGTGAAACCCTGTCTCTACTGAAACTACAAAAAAAAAAAAAAATTAGCCAGGCTTTGTGGCGGGCACCTGTAGTCCCAGCTACTCGGGAGGCCGAGGCAGGAGAACGGTGTGAACCCGGGAGGCAGAGCTTGCATTGAGCTGAGATTGCACCACTGCACCCCAGCCTGGGCGACAGAGCAAGACTCCATCTCAAAAAAAAAAAAAAAAAGTGTACGGAAACACTCTGCTATCTCTGGCCCTCTGCTGTAAAGCTCAAGTAGCTTTTAAACAATGACACTGCTATTTCTGAGTTCCTCCACTACAACGTTCTCGGAGGTCCCGTCCCCCGGGGCAGCCACAGTCCCAAGACTATGGAGCTCCGAGAACTACCCAAGCAGAGGCTAAAAGCACAAGAGAAATTACTTGGAAGCAGAGAAAACCAGAATAACTATATTTTAAATCTTGATTTCAAAAACACATTATTGACCCCCTACTAGCACAGTTATTTAGCAAATGAGAAGGAACGTTGCAAAAAGAGGCCTTAAGAAAGGGCATGAGAGGCTGGGTGCGGTGGCTCACGCCTGCAATCCCAGAAAGGGCATGGGAGGCCGAGGCAGGCAGATCACCTGAGGTCAGGAATTCGGGACCAGCCTTGGCCAACATGGTGAAACCCCATCTCTACAAAAATACAAAACTTAGCCAGGTGTGATGGCACATGCCTATAATCCCAGCTACTTGGGAGGCTGAAGCAGGAGAATCGCTTGAACCCGGGAGGTGGAGGTTGCAGTGAGCCTAGACCATGCCACTGTACTCCAGCCTGGGCGACAGAGCAAGACCCTGTCTCAATTTAAAAAAAAAAAAAAAAGAGAAAGGGCATGAGGGCACAACCCGCCCCAGGCACCTGCCAGTCTCTCTCAGAAGGCTCAATAAAATCCATTGTCTCCCCTTCCCGAAAACTTCTACTTAAGTCCAACTTATTAGAAATTTTCCTGGTTTAACAATCAAGTCATCCAACTCAAAGGAAAAAAGACAGAGAAAACAACATAATCTGTCTTCTTAAGCAAGTGTAAGCTGGGTATAACCGCCTGTGCTGCAACAGGCTCGTGGGTGAGAGGGTGGGCGCCAGGCCCTGGCTTCCGCTGTCTTCATTTTCCTGACAAGCAGGCATCCTCACTGGAGGGCCTAGGGTCCTGGGACCCTCTGCAGCCTGCAGGGCTATCATGGGCCAAGGCAGCACCCAGGACAGGATAATTCTGCGTGATGATCAATGCCTTCCCCTCTGCGACTCTTTCCGCTCTCGACTTCCAATCTAAAAGTTCTGAAACAGCCCAGCATGGCTCATGCCTGTAGTCCCAGCAGCTCTGGAGGCTGAGGGGGGAGGATCGTTTGAGCTCAGAAATTTGAAGCTACAGTGAGCTAAGACTGCACCACTGCACTCAGCCTGGGTAACAGGGCGAGACCCTGTCACTAAAAAATTAAAATAAAAAAGATTTGAGCCAAAAAACCACAGACTTCAGAAACCTCAGAAACAAGACCCCGTTTCAGATCAATCATAGCTCTAAAACTGTTGCTCATGGGCAAAACAACAAAACATTGAGAAGCCAAGGTAAAGATGGGAGAGGGGAGGTGTCTTTGCCAGAACTAACCTAGCCCCCTGCTGTGAGACCAGCTCAGTGACCACAGCGGCTGGAGTCCCCAGTCGCTTCAGAACACGGCTCCTGTTCTGCAACAGAAACCCACTGGCAGCTCTGCCTCCTGCTGAAAATGCTCACAGGTCTCTAACACCATGCCAACCTAGACCAGTGACCGAGTAAGTCTCAGTGACCAAGAGAGCCCATGGCCCTCTCTGATCAGTCCCCCAAGGGAGGATATTTCTAAACACATAGAGGCAAGTCTGTGATGCAGAAAATATGCACAGCCTACGAACAGGAGAGGGTCCCTGGGGGTCCCTGACCCCAGGCCTTCCCTCTCCTCATCTCTGTCGTCCCCGTGTGCTTCCTGAAACCTCTAGTCCTAGACTCCTGCCACCCCTCGCACCAGTCCTCCAACACCAGCTCATCTCCTGCTGCTTCTCTCTCCGTCCTTCCTGCCTTCAGGAGCCATCCTCCCTGCCCACCCTACCCCACTCTGAAGCAGCGCTGCCCAACACGTTTTCACCTAGAAGCCCTACAGTACTTCAAGGTCAAAAGGTTTCAAACTGAGCTAAAAAACAAAATAACATTACTGAAAAGCCCGCTTCCACTGCCCACTTCCTGCCTCCACCCTTTCTCCATTCTCGTACCCTGAAACCTGGCACCATCTCAGATGCCCTTCTCTCGCTCCTTCCACACTTTCAGCCAGCCAGGAAGAGCTGAGTCCTTGCTCCCCAGTTCCTCTTCATCCCCAGCACGCCAGTCCCACTGTTCAGGCCCCAAAAACTCCTGCCAGCTGCTGCCATCACCTCCAAACGCACCTTCCTTTGTGCCATTACAGCACTTTAACAGCCTCGCCCTGCTCAGGAAGCGTACAGTGCCCCGCAGCCAACTCCATCAAGTTTAGACAGGCCTTTCAAAGTCCCCGAGATCCTTCCCCACAATCCCTCTCCAGCCTTCCTGCCACCCTGCACATATCCTATGTGAATTATACGCACTCCCTCCGTCATCACAGCCCTGAGATAGGTACTACTGCAACCCCTTTCAGATGAGAAAGCTCAGACTCAGGAAGGTTCCATTACTTGCCCTAGATCACAAGGCTGCTAAGTGCAACACTGAAACCCGCGCATCCAACTCCAGAGCTTCAATTCTATGATGCTGCCCAATAGGGTCAAGCCAGACTCCAGGCTGGCCCACTCACACAGCGCTCTGCTGATCTAAGATGCTCTCTCTTCTCCCAGCAAAGCTACCTCAATCCCACCCAGCATCCAGGGTTCAGCTGTGTCCCACCTTCTCCCTGAAGTGTTCCCTCACCCTCCATCTCTCACGGCTGCCCACAGTTGAAACCATTACAACAGATGCAGTCTGCACTACACAGCAGAGTGCCTGACGGCGAACGGCTTGGCACGTGGGAGGCATACAAAATCATCTACCAAACTCAACTTCCACTCGTTATTCCAAAAGCGTTTGTGTTGTTCCCTCAAGTTGGTGGAGAGATGCTAGGCAAGGGGCTCCATGCTTCCCCACCTGCCCAGCCGGGTCAGCATGCCAGCTGAGGAAGTCCTCGGCCCAGCTACCCAGGCCAGGAAGACTTCCTAGAAAACCCCTGCCGGCTCTCAACACTGCCTCTTCTTCTTGCTGGGGCCACATGTCAGTTTCCCCTCCTGGCCCATGCAGCTTTTCACAAGAGGCATCTAATACACTCGCAAATTCTGGCCTGCCTAGAGCCGCGGGGCCCTTGGAAGATCTGTCAAAGGCAAGGAAATAAACTGTCCCCTGAAGGTCCCCTTGACTCTTTGGGCCCTTTCTAAATTAATCTCACTTTCACAGGTGCTTTAAAATATCACAGATGTGTTTCCTAGAAAAACTAAACACACCTTTACTGGAATGCCTATCCCCAAAATGGCATCCATAATGCAAATCACCGTGAGCCAGGTCTCCCCTCATTATTCATCTTTTCTTTCCCAAAAGACTGCTTCCAAGCAAGGTGAGGTTTGTGGAGTGTCTAATCCAAATGAGACAGGAGCTGGAAAACTTCCGTCGGTCTCTCCACAGCCTCATCATCACCTCCCTCAACTCCTCACCATCACCTCCCTCACCGTATCACTTCCCTCACCCCATCACCTCCCTCAACTCTTCACCATCATCTCCTTCACCCCATCACCTCCCTCACCCCATCACCTCCCTCATGAGCTCACCATCACCTCCCTCACCGTATCACCTCCCTCCACCCCATCACCTCCCTCAACTCCTCACCATCACCTCCCTCACCGTATCACCTCCCTCCACCCCATCACCTCCCTCAACTCCTCACCATCATCTCCTTCACCCCATCACCTCCCTCAGGAGCTCACCATCACCTCCCTCACCATCACCTCCCTCATCAACTCCTCGCCATCATCTTCCTCACCCCATCACCTCCCTCACCATCATCATCCTGGGACACACTGCTCTCTGTCCCCTCCCCTTCTCTACTCTCACTCCCTTGGTAATCTCATCCTGTCTCGGGCTTGCGAGAGGATGCAGGTATGAACAATGGCCTGCTCTAGACCTCAGCCCAGTCCTCTCCCCTCAACTCCAGACCCCTACTCAACCACTTGGCATGCCCGTTTGGCTATCAAGCAGGTACCTCACACATGACCTGCCTCACACCAAACCCCTGGTCCTGTGCCTGTGGCCTGGCCCATCTCAGGACACAACAACTCCAACCGTCCAGGTACACAAGCCAGGAGACTGGGAAGAATCTATTTAGATTCACCTCAGATATTCTACTAAATCCAAAGTTCTCCACCAGTACACACACCCCAGAAATAAAACAAAATTTAGAAGGAAACGCAACATACAAAGTCACATAGGCATAGAAAACCTCCTGTCTCGAGGTGCCGGGAACTGTCCTTTCAGAACGCAAGACAGCAGGCATCCCTGCTGTGGGGCACTGCCCATCCTGCGGCCACTGACAGGTCACTCCACCCCCGCCCCCACCGCGAGGCTCTGTGGGGGAAAGCAACTGTCCACTCGCCCGCAGGACACGCTGCACCAGTTTTCAGGATTTCATTGCAGGGGCTCCACTGTGGATCCACACCACACCCTCCCCACACCTGCAGCTCCCCTCCCACCCCCAGAGGCCAGCACTGAGCCTCAGGAATGGTGCAGGTCCAGTAACTTTCGATGCCTCTCATTTTTACTAACTCACTCTTCCCTGTTTTTTTCTGTTTTCCTCCATGTTCTCCTATTTTCCCTGCAATGGTAAATGGTAAGCGAACCACTGAATTGCAACATTGAACTTTCTCCCCCCAGCGTTGTCTCTTCCTGCTGTCTGTGGCTCTGGCTTTGGCCCTCTGCTTCTGTAGCTGGGGCACAGCAGTTCCTGGCAGCCCCATCCAGAAAACCTTCTCCCTGGGACCTGGTCCTTGAGGCCACAATGCTTGCTCAGGCCTGGCCAGCTGTAAAGCCATGTCCCCACTAGATGCACTGAGCACCTCGGGACCACGGCACCAACACAACTTTGCCCACTAAGTGCCTACCCCTCCCACATAGGGCTCACGAGGGGTTCAGAAAGCAGGGCCAGGAGGGCACGGCAGGGGAGGCGAGCAGTCCGCAAGCACTCAGCTGCCCTAGGACTGCTGCACAGAACCACAAAACAGATACAATCCGGGTAAGCAGAGGTCGTGAGAACACCTCAAATTGCTGTCCTGCAGCGAGAGGGACAGAGATGTGAGGGAAGCCAGCACCAGCATTCCCACTTCTACAGAACCCAGCAACACCAGCATCCGCAGCAGGGGCCCAAGGGGTGTGAGAGACACCTTCATCTCGGTCTCCGCAAACCACCACGACGGTAGGCGGGTAAGACCGAGAACTTCTGGTACTACACATCCTGCTGCTTGTTCAACTCATGCCGGCATCTCCCACATGAGAATTGACAAATTAGGATCTGAGCAGTAGTCGGGGACTTTAAATCTCCCAGCCCATTCTCACACTGTTGTTTTTATTTTTCCAATCTGTATAAAAATAATCTCTTCTCCTTTGGCCCAAAATGCCGGCCTGTTGCCTGACAGCCTGGCTCCCCACTTCCTGACCACATGACAGCAGGCAAGTAAACAGTTCCCCAGACCCTCAGTTTCCTCATCTGCAAAATGGAGAGAGGCAGAAGATTCATCTCACAGAGTTGCTGGCAGGTGCGGGTGGAATCATAAACATAGTGGTCAGAACAGCGTGGCAAGAACTCAGCCAGGCTAGCTATTAGAAACGATGGCTGTGCTTTTTCTCCTCTACTTTTTCTGTTTGAAAGCATTTTGGATTTCATTCTAACAACATCTTCAAAGACCCCACTGTATGAAGTCTCCCCTCCAGCTGGCTGCCGCAGAGGTGGGAGCTGGCATTTCCTGAGCACCTATTTGGTACCAGGCTGGGAGCTTCCCTGTAAGACAGGCACATCGGCCCATTTCACAGGTGGGAAAACACAGGCTGGGGTGAGAGGATGCAGGCCCACTGAGGCCCCAGGCAGCAGGGTGTGGAGGTGGGACTGGAACCCACAAATGCACACCCAGAATGTGGAGGTCGGGGCAGAAAGAAGGCCCACCACTCCCTCACATTCACTGTTTGGCCCCTCACTAAAATCTTTCCTTTTCAAGTAACCTACCAGCTAATGGGTTTTGAAAAGAAACTTCTCAAAGGGAGCAGGATAGGAACTCTAAAATTTCAATCAGCCAACTTGGGTATAAGTCATTTCTCTAGCTATTCAAGAGTTAAGTACAAGCCAGGCGCAGTGGCTCATGCCTGTAATCCCAGCACTTTCGGAAGCCGAGGTAGGTGCATCACCTGAGGTCAGGAGTTCAAGACCAGCCTGGCCAACATGGCAAAACCGTGTCCCTACTAAAAATACAAAAATTAGGTGTGGTGGCGCGCACCTGTAGTTCCAGCTTCTTGGGAGGCTGAGGCAGGAGAATTGCTTGAACCTGGGAGGCAAAGGTTGCAGTGAGCTGAGATCGCACCATTGCACTCCAGCCTGAGCAACAGAGTTCGCAAAGCTATTATGTGAACATTCAAGGCCTAACCACCTCAAAACACAATTTAATAAACAATGGTCTAAGCTACCCAAGGACTGGTGAGTTCATGTGTATCCTTTCCAGATTGCAAGCCCAGTGACTCACACGCAGGAGCATGTTGGTCAGTTCAGCAAATATCCTACCCAGGCCACAGGGAACAAGGAAGTAGGTCAAACGCTGGCCAGTGAGCCCCATTTCAGCACAAGCAGTGCTGGCCCTAGCAGGAGGCTCCAGGCAGTGCAGCCTGGTGGTTAGGAACCTGGGCTGGGGGCCAGCTGCCTGGACCTATCCACTGCAGGGTAACCTGGGGCAGTTACTCTACCTCTCAAGAACCCCAGTTCCTGGCCAAGCGTGGTGGCTCACACCTATAGTCCCAGCACTTTGGGAGGCTGAGGCAGGTAGATCACCTGAGGTCAGGAGTTCGAGACCAGCCTGGCCAACATGGTGAAACCCTGACTCTACTAAAAATACAAAAATTAGCCGGGCATGGTGGCACTTGCCTGTAAGCCCAGCTACTCAGGAGGCTGAGGCAGGAGAATCGCTTGAACCCGGGAGGCAGAGGTTGCAGTGAGCCGAGATCGCACCACTGCTCTCCAGCCTGGGTGACAGAGCGAGACTCTGTCTCAAAATACAAACAAACAAAACATCCCGTTTCTGAAAATTCAGGAAACTAGGGAACCCACCACCTAGCAATGCTGTGGCAATTAAATCCGTTGTGACGTGAAAACCCTTGCCAAGTAACCATGAACTGTCAGCTGTTATTGAGAGGAGCAGAGTACAGCAGTCAGGAGTGTGGGCTCTAGAGCCAGGTGGCCCAGGGTTTGGGCTCAGCTCTAAAGCCTTGAAAAACTCACTTGTCTTTTTCATACCTCAGTTTCCTCATCTGCAAAATGGGGAAAAGAGAAACTTCCTCACGAAAGGTGATAGTGAGGATTCCACGAAACAATGGATGTAAGGTGCTTACGACGGCACTTGCTACATGGTGAACACTCACAGTTATCTTTTACTATTTCTAGAGATCATTTTGGTCAGAACAAAAAACCATTCCATGAGACAAAGTCCTAAATAATTAAATGATTGCAGGAATAGGATACTGACCCAAGCCTGGTGTGCCCTCAAAAGCACTGGGAGACTCAGGAGGCCCAGGACCCTGAAACCACAGCAGGGCTCCAGGATACTTAATTTGTCTGTGCCATGCTTTGCTGCTAGCCGAAGGTGGTTCTAATTAATACACTTCTACATTGAAATGCCCCCAGGATGAAAAAGACACATAAAATACACACTAAAAAATGGCTTCACGTGCCAAGCAAGACACACACACACACACACACACACACACAAAAACAGCCTTATTTAAATTTGCAGAGAAATGCTAAAGTAAGACCAAAGCAACATGTGAGCATGAGAGTCTCAACTCCGTGCAGCCCTGTAGCTCAAACAAGTCAGGTTAGCAAATGAGACGCCCCACACCGTCCTCAGACTCCTAGCACCTCTCCCGTCCCTAGCATCATCAGAGAAGGAATGGAGACTGCAGGAGAGTTCAAGGTAAAACTGTTAAGAACTGCTAACCTTTTTTGCTGATGAGTTTTGATGGCAATCTCTCCTACATTTTTAAAGAGCAGGCTGGGCCGAATGAGAGTCAGAGGTCATAAGGCCAGGGTCTGCAGGGGGACGGTCCCCTACACACCGTAAGCAGAGTGGTGGAGCTGCCCCTGCTCCTCCAAGCGGCTCTGTTCTCTCCCATTCTTTCCCTGGACTTCTCTTCTTTCTCACCTTTCTCACCTCTGGGCTCTCAGGCACACCAGACAAGGACAGAGAACACTCAGTCACCTAAGTCCAGGACGCACTTCGGATTTTCAGGCTTGTTTTTTAGGAGGATTTTATCTGCTACCAAACTCTTCTCAGTTTCCAGGTAGGTGCCTGGAATGCTGGCCGATGGTGGTGGGCTGATTTCCAGATACCCTCATCCCCCTCCGTCTTCCCTAACCCTCTTAGTGCTCCACAGAGCCTGAGGCACAAAGCGCTTACAGCTGCAGGGGGAGGCCTCAAACTCGCACAAAATTCAAGCTGCGTTTTGCTTGTCCTCCTCGGGACCTTTCCTTGGTCAACTGCTTTCTTTGGTCTAGTTCCCTGTCCTGTAACAGCGCAGGACCCTGGCAGAAGACCCAGATCCCTGTCCTGGCCAAGGCCCTCACCACCTCACGTCCCCGGCCTCTCTCCTACTGAAAAAGCACACCCAGCCCACCTATGCAGCTCCAAGGGGCAGCGCGTGAGAGAACTCCTGTAACACGCAGCTGTCACTCTGCTACAAGGCCACAGTTCCACAAGACACCGTTCCAAGCAGTATTATTTACATAGGCCGCACAAGAATCTTGCCCTCTGGAGTTGTGCAGAGGCAATACTGCTAACCTACCTCCACTTGGCTTTTAAAATCTTTAAAACATCCACATAGGTCTGATATTTGATGCCATTCCAGTTTCCCAAGAGGTGCTAAAGCAACATACCAAAGTCAGAAACTTCTAAGGAAGCAGAAGGAAAAACAGATCTCTCTGTCACAGGCACTTGCGCTGAGGCAACAGGCCTGGGTGTCACTTCTCTGACCACGTCCACAGCCAGAGAAATCAGCAAAGATCCAAAGCAAAACCCTTCTGCCTCAAAAACCGCATATAAGCCAAGAAGCGCGCCCAGGCCCCTCGGAGGCTGCCTTCAGTGCAGGGAGCCGGCCCTGGAAGCCTCCTGCGCCAGGCGCGGCTGCACATATGGGCCACTCCTTCTCCCGGACTTTCTGCAACTCCACGCGGCGCTAACCCTCTGGTTAACTCCGTCTCCTTCTTTTCCAGATGCGCCCAGGGGGACACCTAGGCGACTGCTGGGTCAAAAGCAAGCTTTAGGGATGGCGTCCACGAGACCCCAAACAGGTTTTTCCTCATTAAAAACCCTGGACTTCAAAGAGGTAAAGAAAAAAAAAAAAGCCCAAAGTCAGCAGATCGTAAAACGCATAAAACTCATATAACTCGACACCCCGAGTCCAAAGGGGCTGTTGCGGCAGGCTCCCCGGTGCCCACGTCACCAATCGCCTCTGAGAGCCTCGCACCCGGCGCTGGGCGAGACCGCAGGGCAGCGCGGGGCGCTCTCGATACCGAGGGGACGACGGGGCGGGGCCTTTCCGGCAGGAGAGGCTGCCCGGGAGGCGGCGGGACTCCGTGCGGGCGGCCACCCTACGCCGGGGAAGGGCCGCAGCGCCCCCGGTTCTCTCGGCCCCCCGGTGAGCGCTGTGGCTCGCAGCCCCGTCCCGGAACCCCGACCGCATCCCGGTCTCTAACCGCGGCCGGGCGGGCAGGCAGGAGGGAGCCCCGGCCCCGGTCTACTCTCGCCCCGCGCAAACACCTCCGCCTGACCCGCCCGCGAAGCCCCCTTCAGCGCCCTTTTCCCTGCCCCCAGTTCCACGTGGGCGCCAGGGACCCTGCGGCACGGCGCCGGGAGCCAGGGATCCCCAACTTTCGGCCGGAGTGTCCGGAGAGCCAGCCAGCCCGCCCGCTCGGCCGGGGACTCACGGCTCCATCTCGGCGCCCAGAGCCCTCGGCCCCGGCCCGCGCGTCCCGAGCCCGCCAGGCGCCGCGCAGCAGCCTCGGCAGCGGCAGCCGCAGCCGGAGCCGGAGCGACAGCGGCTGAGCAGCGGCCGGCCGCGGAAAACTCATCAGAGCGCGACGCCGAGATCACGTGCGCGGAAGCGACTCTCACGGCGGAAGAGGGCGCGGCGCGGTGGAAGCGGGGCCGCGGGCGCGCGGCGAGGGGGGTGGCCCTCCTTCGTGGCCCCGTGCCGGGGCGGAGCCCCACGGCCGGGAGCACCCAGGCTAGCCCTGAGCTGGGGCTCAAGACAGAAGGAATGAGTGAATGAATGACTTAGTTTACCTCTTGTCCCTAGGGCAGGTAAACAGCGCATTCATTCACTCCTACTTCCCGAGTGTCGGGGCGTAAGGATGGGCCTCGGGAGTCCACGAATGCCCTGCAGTTGTCTGGAAAACACTATGGGTGTCTGCATTTTTCTAGGGAGAGGAGCTATAGCTGTATATTCATTCCCTAAGGGTCTTGTGACCCCAAAAAAGGTTAAAAGCCAGGACAAACTTCTGCCACCCCGAATGATGACAGGAACCTTCCGGGCTCTTTCTGGTAGCTTCTCCCGCAAGCCGCTTCTAGACTGCAGCTAGACCAGTGGACCAAAAGCACTTTCCTGATTTCGCATCTTGGCTCAGTGTTCCCCATTTCTGTAATCAAGAATGGATGAGAACCAAGGTTTGGCTATTTCTGAGATTCTCTTTGGAGCATTACTCAAAATGTCCCGTGTTCCCGTGTGCTGTGGGTTTAAAGTCGGTCTGCATGAGTTAAATAAAGGACTTCCAAGCTTCCTTTGCAATGTATCCTCATTCATTCACTAAACTGTAAACAGGCTTACTATTGGCAGAAAAGTGTGGACATGAATAAGGAACAGTTCCTGCCCTCAGTGAAATTACAGGCAAAGAAAATTACCAACAGTAAGTTAGGTAGCCTTAGCTCAGGGTGCTACAGTGAGGAAGGGTGCCTAACTCGCCTTGGGGGAGTGGAGAAGGTAGGGGACAGAATGCAGAGTTTGGGCTGAATCTGGAGGGTGAGGTGGATATTAGGAAGAGGGGGGTTAAAAGGGGGAGATACCAAGCAAAGCACACCCTAAGCCAGGACACCAAGGAATAGTTACACAAAATCTCATTAGTGCTCTGAATCCTAAACCGCAACTCTTCAAGGAATAACAAAAGATTATTTCTTAAGTTCTTTTCATACATAAGCAGAGGGAAAGGGTTCTTCATAGCAACAAGACCGGAGAACAGAAACTGGGTACCTGCAGGGACAGACTGTTCACAGGGACGTGGGGCGCGGGAAGGGGTGAGTCGGAGGGAGTTCTATGAGCTAGAGCAGGGGTCCCCAACCCCGGAGCCTGTTAAATTACAGACGTGAGCCACCGCAACCAGCCCAAACATGCGTTTTCATGCAACACCTTCTGTTAAATGTTTAGGCCTGAGGATGCCTCCCTACTTGAGTCCTTACATAAGGAGCTGCAGCCTGGCATAGTTAACATAAAAGAGAAGACACCCTAATTGAGGAGGATGCTTTTGTAACAAACAGCTGAGTCTCAGCCAATCACAGCCAGTGAGCTTCTGTCATTGGCAGGTGGTTAGCTGATTCAAATAAGCTAGAACATAAACCTGTAACCAGTTAAGCTGTCTCTGCGCCTCAGTTCCACTTTCTGTCCATAAATGTTGTCTAACCACGTTGCAGCCCCAAAGTCCTTTGAACCTGTTGGTTCTGAGGGCTGCCCGATTCTAGAATCATGAAGAAAAGCTACTTAGGATCTTTAAATTTGCTGTCATTTTGTCTTTCGACACTTCTGATTCTAAAATGTTGGAAACTAATTCGAAAAAATATCTTAAACCCTGGGAGGGACTAAACAAAGCACATTTGCTGGCCACATTTGCCTAGAGGCAGCCAGTATCTACCTCCAGCCCAGAGCAGCATGAGATGATGTGGAAATCCCTGCTCTGTGCCAGCTGCCTGGTCTCTCCTGAGGCATCTCCAGCGAGAGGAAACTGTCACCACCCCGAGGACCCCTGGCCCTCACTGTGTGCATTTGACTCCAAACTACCTCCTGGCAATTCCTTCCTGTCAGATCTCCCTGGATTTGCTGTCCAGCGTCACCCAGGTCAGCATGAGCCCTCTCCCAACACTCCTTCAAGGATGTGAACAACCACATGGCCCTCAGCTCCTCTTCTCCCGTCATACTCGTTTTCTCATTTATTTGTTCTTCAAACATTAATGGAGCAGTGTGTGTGTGCCAGGAACAACTCTCAGCTCTGGAAACACAACACGAATAGACAGATGAGGTCCCTGTCCTTTTCTAGTCAAGAACAAACAATAACCTAAATAATTACTTAATTGACCGGGCATGGGCATGGTGGCTCACGCCTATAATCCCAGCACTTTGGGAAGGTGAGGCGGGGATCACCTGAGCTCAGGAGTTCAAGACCATCTTGGCCAATATGGCGAAATCCATCTCTACTAAAAATACAAAAATTAGCTGGGCGTGATGGCGGGTG
Organism: Homo sapiens; assembly: GCF_000001405.40. NCBI lineage: Eukaryota > Metazoa > Chordata > Mammalia > Primates > Hominidae > Homo > Homo sapiens. Next base: position 158,557,661 of record NC_000006.12, on the reverse strand, counting down.
CCTGTAATCCCAGGTACTTGGGAGGCTGAAGCAGGAGAATTGCTTAAACCCAGGGGGTGGAGCTTGCAGTGAGCCAAGATCACGCCACTGCACTCCAGCCTGAGCAACAGAGCAAGACTCTGTCTCAAATAAATAAATAAATAAATAAATAAATAATTACAGCTGTGATAGAAAAGGAAATGAAAGGTGCTATGATCATGTTATGAAAAGGGGAAAGGGACCCAAACTATTCTGGGCTCTAAGAAGCCTGGTGTGATCTATCAGCCATTTCTCACATGACCTGTTTGTTTTTGAGACAGAGTCTCCCTGTCACCCAGGCTAGAATGCAGTGGCGCAATCTCGGCTCACTGCAGCCTCTGCCTCCCACTCAAAAGATCCTCCGGCCTCAGTCTCCCATGTAGCTGAGACTACAGGTGTGCACTAACACAACCAGCTAATTTTGTATTTTTTGTAGAGACAAGGTTTCACTATGTTGTCCAGGCTGGTCTTGAACTCCTGGGCTCAAGCAGTCTGCCTGCCTCAGCCTCCCAAAGTGCTGGGATCCTAGGAGGTGCACCGCCTTTGGAGATAAGCTACTGTGAAAGTTGTCAGAATTAAAATGGAGTCACTTGTATTAAAAACAGGCCAGGTGCAGTGGCTCATGCCTATAATCCCAGCACTTTGGGAGGCTGAAGAGCACGGATCACTTGAGCTCAGGAGTTTGAGACCAGCTTGGCCAACAAAATACAAAAATTACCTGAGTGTGGTGGCAGGTGCCTGTAATCCCAGCTAGTCATGAGGCTGAGGCAAGAGAATCACTTGAACCCAGGAGGCAGAGGTTACAGTGAGCCAAGATGGCGTCACTGCACTCTAGCCTGGGCAACAGAGCGAGACTCCATCTCAAAAAAAATACCAAAAACAATCCTGACAAATAGAGCCAGAGAACACCATGAAGAGGATTCTCGTGCATAAATGCTTGATAACAAAAACCATAACAAAAGACTATAAAAACCATAACCTTGCACAAAGACCATCGCAATCTTACACTTTTGCGAGGACATCTGCCCAGTAACTGCCTGTCCAACGCGAGACTGGCATCCCCCTTGTGAGTGATCCTTGTAGCCAAGAATAATTAACTCAAAACAATTATGTAATCCTCCCCATTGTTCCTTTAAAAACCTTCATCTTTCTATACCTCCCTGAAAAGGCACATAGTTCACTATGGCACATATATTCCCATTGCAATGCCCTATTCCTGGATAAATATCATTTCTTTTAGAGAGCCTCTTTGTTTGTTATTTAGGTTGACGCAAATGTGTCAGAAATGGAATCGGGAAAAGGATCACTACGGGAAGGAAGTGATGATTCTTAGAACGGGTGTGTGGTACTCACTTGAGCCCTCTGAACTCTGCTGGCACAGCTTGCCTTTTTGGCCAAGGCGACTCTTCTCTCAGGCCCACGCTCCCTCTTTTTGGTAGCAGCTTTTTCATATTATTCTGGATTCGTTTTGGTTATAAGGCTGCCTTACATCCCTACTGGGATGATAAAAGACTTTTTTGTCTTTTCTGAAAAGTCCTTGTTGGTAGAAAGACATGCTGGTTTGAGTACTCTGGTTTCTGCAGAATTGACATTCTGTCTCTGAGACGTGTCTTTTCTGGTTAATTTACTTTTGCTTCTTTCTGCATGTCTAATTTAATATTTTGTTTGATCTGCATGCTGAGTTAAAGCTTGTGACTACACTGATTTTGGTTTAGTTATGTGTCTATAAATGATTCGTCTTTTTTCCCTTGCTTGTTTCTGAAAAATCTTCCAAGAGAAAAACATTCTAAACGGTGGGCGCACGATGGCTAGTTAAAAGCCGCCATCTAAACATTGTCCAAACTCCTGACATTCGCTGACAGAATTTATAGGGTTTCCTTTGCTCCTGAGAGATTAATAAAAAGCAGAATGGGATTCTCAAGTCAAGTCAATGGGATTCTCTCAAGTCTTCTGGGACTCCAGCTAGCTGTATATTATGGCTTCTTTTCACGCACATTTTTAAGCT